>NC_000009.12:37888787-38040303 GCF_000001405.40 Homo sapiens
CAAACTACATATCTATGTGAGGCTTGATTTTTTGCATATACTTTAATCAAAATGACTTATCACAACAGACTGAATGCAGCAAACAGGAAACTCCATCTTAAGTCAGACATGCAAAAGGCTTAGAAAACTGTAAAATATTTTCTAATGACTGTAAAATCATTAGAAAAAAATGGGAGGCATGAATGTTATTTTTCATGAAAATGTGTTAACATGTAATGTGTTTATCATTACCTTAAAATTCATATTTTAATTTTAAATTCCTAAAGACCCTGAATATCAGTCCACATAAACAAAGGGTGTTTGGGGCCCACAATCATTTTTAAGACTGTAAAGGAGTCCTAACACCAAAAACTTTCAGAGCCACTAGACTAGTTCGTAATTACTGACTACACTATATACGGTATCTATCTATTGTCCTGCTGAAATAGGCCCACATTCCTCCCCTGAGAAATAAAACAGCAAGACATGCACTCATTCTATTCATATTTATACTTCTTTGGTACCTACTATGAACTAGGTCCTCTGCTAAGTTGCTAGAGATTCAAAGATAAGGAATTCACAAACTAATAGAATGTGCCAAGGTGAACAATTACACCAATGTGACAGCTTCTATGATAACCAACCATTGTGGGAACACAGGTAAGGGACACTGAACATGCACCTTGGAAGGTGGAGGTGTGGGATGATGGGGGCAAGGAAGGCCTACAGGTATGTACCATGCACTCTATTTTCATGTATGAATTCTCAAAACAACTCCACAATTATTTTTCCAGTTTTACAAATGAATAAAACCAGTATTCTCTTTTGTTCTGTTCAGGGCACAGCTAGTAACTGGTGGGGTCAGCATTCTGAAATGAAGTCTGAGTGATTCCAGGGCTCATATCCCTGCTACCATATCACAGATGGCAATGACTTTGTGAGGCTGCCCTGGGATAAGAGGTGGCTATACTAGATACTGCTGAAAATGATTGGAACTAAGCCAAAGTTCCACCCCTATAATACACCTCCTTCTGTAAAATGCATGATCTTTCCTTGCCAGTCATCTAAATCTGATTCCTTCTCCCTGAAAAAATCCAGATCCAAATAGCTGGGTCATACAGAATAATTCCCACCTTCCAGTTCTGGTCTTGGAAATCACCTTTATTTGGGGGATAACATGATAACTGTATATTGTATCTTAGATATAATAGAAATATATAGAAACTTCTATATATTAGAAATATATATAAATATATACACACATATGTGTATGTGTGTGTGTATATGAGGCTAAATATTTTTTAATTGGATTTTAATTCCTTAACAGTAAGATACTGGCCAGGCATGGTGGCTTATGCCTGTAATCCCAGCACTTTGGGAGGCTGGGGCAGGAGGATTGCTTGAATCACGAGTTTGAGACCAGTGTGGGCAACATAGAGAGATCCCATGCCTATGAAAAAGTTAAAAATTAGCTGGGCATGGTAGCACATGCCTGTAGCCCCAGCTATGTGGGATGCTGAGGTGGGAGGATCAATTGAGCCAGGGAGGTCAAGGCTGCAGTGAGCCATGATTGCACCACTGCACTCCAGCCTGGGCAACAGAGCAAGACTCTTGTTTCTAAAAATAATAACAATAATTTAAAAATTAAAAATAGTAGTCAGGCGCAGTGGCTCACACTTGTCATCCCAGCACTTTGGAAGACCAAGGTGGGAGGATTGCATGAGGCCACAAATTTGTGCCCAGCCTGGGCAACATAGTGAGACTCTGCCTCTACAAAAATCAAAATAAATTTTTGGGGCATGATGGCGTACACCAGCTACTGGGAAGGTGGAGGGAGAAGGACCTCTTGAGCCCAGGAAGTTCAGGCTGCAGTGAGCTGTGTTCATGTCACTGCGTTCCAGCCTGGGTGACAGAGTAATACCCTGCTTTAAAAAAAAAAAAGAACATACGATCCAACAATCCTACTTCTGGGGATATAACCAAAACAATTGAAAGCGCAGTCTCAAAGACCTTGTACACCCACGTTCACAGAAGTACTATTCACAACAGCCAAGAGGTGGAAACAATCCAAACCATATTTAAGAGTTTCAATGGGAAATAATAAAAACAACAAAAAACCGTCTAGGTCTTTCACTTGGAACAAAAAATTGCCAAGTTCCTTAAGTTTTTTTTCCCTCCTCATACTACACACATGCTGTGGTGAACTGCTCAACACTCAGGACAAAAGATGTTAAAGAGAACCATGATCACTCTCAAAGTAGAAAGCGTAGAGCTGAGGCACAGAAAGAATCAGATAGCATTAGTTCCTAAGGGGCGTATATCTGCCAGAGCCACCAATGTGTAATGAATATGGAACACACACACAACCATAATTTTCCTTCTAAGACTACAGATTAAGAAAATAATTCACACAACATGTACACAAAGATTCAGCCATCGCCCGGCCAGCCGCCCCGTCCAGGAGGGAGGTGGGGGGCAGCCCCCACCCGGCCAGCCGCCCCGTCCGGGAGGTGGGAGGCGCCTCTGCCCGGCAGCCCCTTCTGGGAAGTGAGGAGCCCCTCTGCCCGGCCGCCACCCTGTCTGGGAGGTGTACCCAACAGCTCATTGAGAACGGGCCATGATGACGATGGCGGTTTTGTCGAATAGAAAAGGGGGAAATGTGGGGAAAAGACAGAGAAATCAGATTGTTGCTGTGTCTGTGTAGAAAGAAGTAGACATAGGAGACTCCATTTTGTTCTGTACTAAGAAAAATTCTTCTGCCTTGGGATGCTGTTGATCTATGACCTTACCCCCAACCCTGTGCTCTCTGAAACATGTGCTGTGTCCACTCAGGGTTAAATGGATTAAGGGCGGTGCAAGATGTGCTTTGTTAAACAGATGCTTGAAGGCAGCATGCTCGTTAAGAGTCATCACCACTCCCTAATCGCAAGTTCCCAGCGACACAAACACTGCGGAAGGCCGCAGGGTCCTCTGCCTAGGAAAACCAGAGACCTTTGTTCACTTGTTTGTCTGCTGACCTTCCCTCCACTATTGTCCTATGACCCTGCCAAATCCCCCTCTGCGAGAAACACCCAAGAATGATAAAAAAAAAAAAAAAAATTTTATATATATATATATACACACAACTACTTTAAAAAAAAAAAAAAAAAGATTCAGCCATAAGATAGTCACAGCCAGGCTTTTAACAGCAAATAATGAATACAAATGCTCAATAGTAAAAGACACAATGTGTAAGTGAAGATGTATCCACAGGATGAGACATAAAGTTATTAAAAATAAAGAAGTGTTTAAGGTTCAGTGTAGGATTAATTTTGAATTTTTAATGGTATTTAGACGCAAAGTAAAAATTAAATAGCATACGTATGTCAGGTACCTATGTCAGGGGAGATAAGACAGGCAAATAATTAGACAACAGGGAGATAAATGAAATCATGGAAGGTATCAAGGCCCCATACAGCAGGAGGTCATTAATCAGCTGTCTGGAGAGAATGACAGGCAGGACATGACCCGTGGGCTCGGCTCTGAAAGCTGAATAACTGTCACTATGCACATAAGGGTGAAGCACATTTTAGCCAATGGAGCAGCAGAGGCTAAGGCACAGGTGTTGGGCTAAAGGAGCAGCGGCATCGCGTTCTTGGAGGTTACTTGTGTATGCCCTGCAGGGGCACAACGTAGGTAGAGAAGGATGGGTAGCTGATGAGGACAGAGAAGCCGGTTAGGACCCTCAGGAAAATCCCAAGACCCTCTGAACAATACTACATTATATATATACAATATATACAATACTACATTATATATATATATTTTTTTCTTTTTCTTTTTTTTTGAGACAGTGTCTCACTGTTGCCCAGGCTGGAATGCAGTAGTGCAATCTTGGCTCACCTGCAGCCTCAACCTCCTGGGGTCAAGCAATTCTCCCACCTCAGCCCTCTGAGTACCTGGGACTACAGGCACATGCCACCACACCTGGTTAATTTTTTTTTTTTTCTTTTAGATGGAGTCTCACTCTGTTGCCCAGGCTGCAGTGTAGTAGCACGATCTCAGCTCACTGCAACCTCTGCCTCCTGGGTTCAAGCGATTTTACTGCCTCAGCCTCCCAAGTAGCTGGGATTACAAGTGCGCACCACCATGCCCAGCTAGTTTTTGTATTTTTAGTAAAGACAGATTTTTGCTGTGTTGGTCAGGCTGGTCTTGAACTCCTGACCTCAGGTGATCCGCCCGCCTTGGCCTCCCAAAGTGCTAGGATTACAGGTGTGGGCCACAGCGCCTGGCCCAATTTTTGTATTTTTTTTGTAGAGATGAGGTTTCACCATGTTGCCCAGGCTGGTCTTGAGCTTCTGGGCTGAAGTGATCCAACTGCCTCAGCCTCTCAAGGTGCTGGGATTACAGGTGTAAGCCACTGTGCCCAGCCAAATTTTTTTGCTTTCTCTTGTGAAGCAAATGAAAGAAACTATTTTACTTAAGTATGTTACACTAAGATCTGTATATCCTTTTCTAAGAATATAGACTATGATTAAGAAAATGTAGACATCTGTACAATCTATGGCCTAACGCCTCTTTGGAGTTTGAGCTGCTTTGCTGTCATGTTCCTATTAGAAAAGATGAACTCTTTTTACCTAAGAGCAAGTTAGGACTAATGTCACTGCAGGCCCAAAGTCTACCCTAAGGAAGGTAATACAAGGAGTCAGGAAACTTCTCCCCACTCAAAGAAAGTCACTTGGTTGTATCCAGAGAGCTGGGCAGTGTCAGAGCTCAAACCTTTCACTGTCCCTCCCTGATCAGGAGAGCCATACCACCTCTAAGGTCCAAAATATTTTGTTCAGTTGAAGAAACCTGCTCTGAAAATTTGTTTCACTGCCTTTTAAACAGAGAGAAATTACTTCCGATTTTGGCAGTTACTAATGCGGTTAGATTATGAAGTCACCTGTATGCTCCACTGAGAGATGCCAGATTCCTTGGAGTTGGGCTGTTTGTAGATCCAGTAACAACAAAAAATCATTTAAATAAAAATTCACAGAAGAAACGTGTATAACCTACATGAATAGAGAAAAAAAGCTGGAAACCAATTAAACACACAGAGAGCCTCTCCTCCAGGCTCACTGGCCTACTCGGGTCTCTTCTCACCTGAACTAATGCAAGGGACCCTGCAGCAATCAGCCTGACTCTGTTCACGCTCACCCACCCCTATTCCCTGCCCTCTTCAACCTACTCGTCATTTTAAAAAGAAACACACACACACACTACTAAGTTTAAAAAGTGAGGTATGTAACAATGCATTTTGGAATCTAATATTAGCACAGAGATACCTGAGCGTTTAGAATGGTTGCACAGTACTCTATGAAATGACTGCACTGTATACAATTTATTCTACCTCCTATTTATGGTTGCTGTTTTTTTTTATGGTTTTGTATTATTAAGGTTTGGAAAACTCTGTGGACAATTCAGCTTGCCAAGTGTGTGAGTGGGTATACAAAAGATATACATTTTTAATTCCAAGACCTTCCAGAGAGTGTCTAGAGGAAAGGTCTAATTAAACCTGCCCCCACTCACCTTTTTTTTTAACTTTTTTTTTTTTTTTGAGGCAGAGTCTTGCTTTGTTGCCCAGGCTGGAATGCAGTGGTGCGATCTCGGCTCACTGCAACCTCCACCTCCTGGGTTCAACTGATTCTCCTGCCTCAGCCTCCCGAGTAGCTGGGATTACAGGTGCCCGCCACCATGCCTGGCTAATTTTTCTATTTTTGTAGAGATGGGTTATCAACTTGTTGGCCAGGCTGGTCTTGAACTCCTGGGCTCAAGTGATCTGTCCGCCTTGGCCTCCCAAAGTGCAGGGATTACAGGTATGAGCCACTGGCCTGGCCTTTTACAAAAAATTTTAAGTTCTGAGGTACGTGTGCAGGTTTGTTATGTAAACTTGTGCCATGGGGTTTGTTGTACAGATTATTTCGCCACCCAGGTATTAAGCCTAGTACCCATTAGTTATCTTTCCTGATCCTCTCCCTCCTCCCACCCTCCACCCTCCTATGGGCCCCAGTGTGTGTTGTTCCTCTCTATGTGTCCATGAGTTCACATCATTTAGCTTCCACTTGTAAGTGAGAACATGTGGTATTTGGTTTTCTGTTCCTGAGTTAGTATGCTAAGAATAATGGCTTCCAGCTCCATCCATGTTCCAGCAAAGGGCACAATCTTGCTCTTTTTATGCCTGCATAGTATTCCATGGTGTATGTGTACCACGTCTTCTTTATCCCGTGTACTACTGATGGGCATTTAGGTTGATTCCATGTCTTTGCTACTGTGAATAGTGCTGCAGTGAACATGGCTGTGCATGTGTCCTTATAGTAGAACTATTCCTTTGGGTATTGTTTTTTTCTATTTCGCCTTTAAACAATGCAGCAATGGGCAACCTTGTACTTATACCATGTGAATTGTTTTGCCATTAAAAACTTTTTTTTTTTTGAGACAAGGTCTCATTCTGTTGCCCAGGCTACGATGCAGTGGCACAGTCATGGTTTACTGTAACCTCGAACTCCTAGGTTCAAATGACCCTCCTGCCTCAGCCTCCTGAGTAGCTGGAACTACAGGTATCCACCACCACATTCGGCTTTTTTTTTTTTTTTGTAGAGAAGGGGTCTTGTTATGTTAGCCAGGCTGGTCTCCAACCCCTAGCCTCAAGCGATCCTAATGCCTCAGCTTCCCAAAGTGCTGGGATTGTAAGGAGTGAGCCACCTTGCCTGCCATTTAAAATTTTTGAATATGATTCCCCATCTTTCATTTCTATTGACCACTTCTTTACTATACATTTTCATATATGTTGCCCATTTTTCTGCTGGCACTTTGGTTGTCTTACTGATTTGTAAAGTATCTTTTAGATATGAAGCAAATGAATCTATTTTAGTCAAATTGTGGCAAATAATTTTTCCATGTCTATATCATTTTTATACACTGAAGTTCTTAATTTGAATATTAAATATATCTCAACTTCTAGATTTCATGTTCTCCTAAGGTCTTCATTACTCCAAAATTATTAACAAGTAATCCAGGCTTCCTTCCACAACTTTTTTTTTTTTTTTGAGAGAGTCTCACTCTATCATCTAGGATAGAGCGCAGAGGCATGATCTCGGCTCACTGCAACCTCTGCCTTCCTGGTTCAAGTGATTCTCCTGCCTCAGCCTCCCAAGTAGCTGGGATGATAGGTGTGTGCTGCCATGCCCTGCTAATTTTTATATTTTTAGTAAAGACAAGGTTTTGCCACATTGGCCAGGCTGGTCTCAAACTCCTGGCCTCAAGTGACCTGCCTGCCTCGGCTTCCCAAAGTGCTCGGATTACAGGCCCTTCCATAATTTTTATGGTGAATTATCACGTATACTGTAATATCTCTGGAATATCAGTTTAAGAAGTGAGGCAAAGATAACAGACTGCCAACATCACTGATGACTGAACTTTGTTTCCATCAGTTGCAGCATAATCTAAATACCCACGGGCGTTTGCGTTTATTTCTGCACTCCATTCTTTTCCACAAAGAGCCTGGTATTTCTTCTCTAGTACTAACCTGTTTTAACCTATTGCAGCATCAAAATATAGTTCATCATCTAGTAGGGCTTCCCCCTCCAAAGATAATTATTACAGTTTTTCTAGCCCTCTCACTTTTCTCAGGTAAACTTCGGTGTACTCTTCCCCAAAATCCTGTTGGTGTTTTATGGTGGAAGATGTATCCACAGAATGAGGCATATATATTTAAAATAGGCTGGGTGGCCGGGCACAGTGGCTCACGCCGGTAGTCCCAGTATTTTGGGAGGCCGAGGTGGGTGGATCACTTGAAGTCAGGAGTTCGAGACCAGTCTGGCCAACATGGCGAAACTCCATCTCCACTAAAAATACAAAAATTAGCCAGGCGTGGTGGTGTGCACCTGTTGTCCCACCTACTCTGAAGGCTGAGGCAGGAGAATCACTTGAACCCAGGAGGCGGAGGTTGCAGTGAGCCGAGATTGCACCACTGCACTCCAGCCTGGGTGACAAGTGCGAAGCTCTGTCTCAATAAATAAATATTTAAGGTTCAGAACGGTATTAACTTTGAATTTTTAGTGGTATTTAGATGGAAAGAGTGAAAATTAAAGAGCATATGTATGTCCGGTACCTATGTCAGGGGAGATAAGACGTGCAAATTAATTAGACTATAGGGAGATAAGTGCAATCATAGAAGGTATCAAGGCCCCGTACAGCAGGAGGTCATTAACTAGCTGTCCAGAGGGAATGACAGACAGGACATGACAAGTCTATCTTAATTTTAAATACTGATCATCTTTTCAAAATTGAATCTTAACTTTACAAGAACTTGGTATCTTCCTATTTACTTATAACTTTTTGCAAACCTTAAAGCATTAAAATTTTCTTCACATAGATATTATTTCTTACATCTATGTATTTCACCTTTTTGGTTACTATTATATTTTAAATTTTTAAATTTTTTTTCTTTTTGAGATGGGGTTTCACTATGTTGCCCAGCCTGGTCTTCAACTTCTGGGCTCAAGTGATCCTCCTGCCTCAGCCTCCCAAAGTGCTGAGATTACAGACATGAGCCACTTTGCCCTGCCTGATTATTATTATTCATAGGCTATTTACTTCCATCAGTTTTCTAACTAGTTTTCGTTTGCATAAGAAAACAACTAACAATTCTTGGGTATTAAGGTTAGAACCAGCTAACTTACTGAATTCTTACTATGTCTCAGTTTTTTGGTGAACGTTTTAGTTTCCACCATGTAAAAGATCACTTGCAAAAAATTTTGCCTTCTCTTTTATAATATGTGTAATTCTTTCTTCTTATTGAACTGATAAATACTTCCTGAACAAAATTAAATTATAATAAAGGATTATAATAAATTATAATTATAATCCCTATATATAATTACATATATATATAATTATAGTTCTTATATTTTTCTTGACACCTGTGGGAACTCTCCTAGGGATTATCATTAAGTTGGCTTTCGGTTTTAAACAGGAAGTTCTTGTCATCTGAGTGTTCATAATCCAGGTCCTAGCAGTTTTCAAGTTTACACAGGGAAACAAATCATCAAGACACAGAAACGTTCACTGATCAGCTGAGTCATATATGATTTATTCCACTCAAGTATCCCTCCTCCCTATTTATCATCTACCCCTGCCCATCTGTAGGACTCTACTGTAAACATGAAGTGCAGGAGGCCTTCCTTCTGCTATCACATAATTTCATCTCACAAATCATGCCAAAAACCCCAAGACTTCAATCTATATTCATTCTAAGAATTAGTGGAGCTGCAATTATAACTTAAGCTCCTGCCCCCAACTATTAACTATGAAATTGTGCTTCCCATTAAAAATGGATTCCAGGCCAGGAGCAGTAGTTTACACCTGTAATCCCAGCACTCTGGGAGGCCGAAGCAGGCAGATCACTTGAGGTCAGAAGTTCAAGACCAACCTGGCCAACATGGCAAAACCCTATCTGTACTAAAAATACAAAAATTAGCCGGGGGTGGCCGGGTGCGGTGGCTCACGCCTGTAATCCCAGCACTTTGGGAGGCTGAGACGGGTGGATCACCTGAGGTCAGGAGTTCAAGACCAGCCTGACCAACATGGAGAAATCCTGTCTCTACTAAAAATACAAAATTAGCCAGGCGTGGTGGCGCATGCCTGTAATCCTAGCTATTCGGGAGGCTGAGGCAGGAGAATTGCTTGAACCTCGGAGGCGGAGGTTGCAGTGAGTTGAGATTATGCCATTGCACTCCAGCCTGGGCAACAAGAGTGAAACTCCATCTCAAAAAAAAAAAAAATTAGCCGGGCATGGTGGCATGCACCTGTCATCTCAGCTACTTGGGAGGCTGAGGCAGGAGAATTGCCGGAACCCAGGAGGCAAGGTTGCAGTGAGCCAAGATTGTACCACTGCACTGCAGCCTGGGCGACACAGCAAGACTCTGTCTCAAAAATAAATAAATAAATAAAATAAAAATGAATTTCATTTTTCTAGTCAACTGATAAGTCAAACTGAGAGAATTTTCAAACATGGGAAGGAAATATACATTTATTATTGTTGTACTGAAGTTCAATCACCTCCACACCTTCCCACCGCCAATAACTCAAGAGTCTATCTTAAACTTTGGTCAAATGCTTTTAGAAAGCTCCTGAGATGATCATACAAACACTGGAGACAGCCAGTGTAATATTTAAGAGTACAGCCTCTGGAACCTACTAATTACCTACTTAAATCCTAGCTCCACCACACATGTACTGTGTGACCTTTGACAAGTCACTCTATAGCTTATTCTCTTTATAAAACGTGGCTATTAACTACCTCATAGACTAGCTCAATTAACTGAGCTAACAACATGTAAAGTGCCCAGGACAGCAGTCTAGTGTACAGTAGGAACTCAACAAGGGCAAGCTATTTTATTATTCTTTTCTATCTTTTCTGACTTATTCATTTGGTGTATTATGTTAGCATATTTCTTGGTGATTACTCACTCTTGCAATATGTGGATAAATGCTACTTGGCCGTGGTGAAATATTCTTTCATCATACTGCTAACTTCCATTTACTAATATTTTAAAATTTCATATTACTGTTCATAACAGATCATGTTGTCATTTTTTTTTTCTTCTTTTACAAGACAGGGTCTCACTCTGTCACCCAGGCTGGAGTGCAGTGGTACAATCATGGCTCACTGCAGCCTCAAGCTCCTAGACTTAAGCAATTCTCCCAGCTGGGACCACACACGTGCGCCACCATGCCTGGCTAATTTTTCACTTTTTTGTAGAGACAGGGTCACTCTGTGTTGCCCAGGCTGGTCTGAAGCTCCTTGGCTCAAGCAATCCTCCTGCCTCAGCCTCCCAAAGTGTTGGGATTATGGGCATAAGCCTTGGCACTCAGATAAGTTTTCAGTTTTAATACTATCTTCACATCAAGTGCCAGTGTCAATGTTCCACTGGCTTTGTAAAAAGAATATGTGATTCCCCGCCCCCCCACCCCCATCATACTGTAGAACAATTTAAATCTTATCAAAATGATGTGTTCCTTGAAGTTTAATTGCATTCACCTGTGACATCTGAGCCTGGAGTTTGGCAGGATGATAGCTTTGTGATAATGTTCCCAATTTCTTCCATTGTTATTGTTCTGTTAGGTTCTCTCTTCTTGAGTCAATTTTGATAACTGGATTTCCTTAAAAAAAAAAAAATTCTGGTTTAATTTATATAGCCTTTTTTTTTTTTTTTTTTTTTTTTTTTTTTGTAGAGACAGGGTCTCACTATGTTGTCAACGGTGGTCTCAAACTCCTGGGCTCAAGTGTTCCTCCCACCCTGGCCTCCCAAAGTGTTGGGATGACAGGCATGAGCCACTGCTCCCAGCCTATTTTTATTTTTAAAGACAGGATCTTGGCCAGGTGTGGTGGCTCACGCCTGTAATCCCATCACTTTGGGAGGCCAAGGCAGGCGAATCATGAATGAGGTCAGGAAATCGAGACCATCCTGGCTAACACGGTGAAACCCCATCTCTACGAAAAATCCAAAATTTAGCCAGGCATCGTGGCACGCACCTGTAGTCCCAGCTACCTGGGAGGCTGAGGCAGGAGAATTGCTTGAACCCGGGAGGCAGAGGTTGCAGTAAACCAAGATCACAGCACTGCACTCCAGCCTGGGCGACACAGCAAGACTCTATCCAGAAAAAAAAAAAAAAATGACAGGGTCTTGTTCTGTCACCCAGACTGGAGTACGGTGGTACGATCATGGCTCACTGCAGCCTGGACCCCTGGGGCCTCAGTCTCCTGAGTAGCTAGGACCACAGGCGCATGCCACCATGCTTGGCTAACTTTTAAAAAACATTTTTTTAGCAGAGAGGGGGCCTTGCTATGTTGCCCAGGCTGGTCTTGAACTCCTGCCTTGGCCTCCCAAAGTGCTGGGATTTACAAGCCACTGCACCCATCCAACACTTGCTGTTTTAAAAAATTACTTCTAACCTGTGTACTTATGTTCCCTTTTTTCTTGAGCAGGGTTATCAGTTTATCTAATTTATAACCTTACCACTCCTAGCAAAGCAGCAGCTTGTGAATTACCAATCTTACTATTTCTCAGTTTTGTTTTGTTTTTTTGAGACAGAGTTTTGCTCTGTCACCTGGGCTGAATGCAGTGGCTACCTCGCAGTTCACTGCACTTACTGCAGCCTTGACCTCCTGGGCTCAAGCAATCCTTCCACCTCAGCCATCTGAGTACCTGGGACCACAGGCCCGCACCACCAAGCCCAGCTAATTTTTGTATGTTTTGTAGAGACAGGGTTTCTCTACGTTGCCCAGGCTGGTCTCAAACTCCTTGGGCTCACATCATCTGCCAGCCTTGGCCTCCCAAAGGGGACTACAGGCATCAGCCACCATGCTCACCTAGTTTAAAAAAAAAATTTTTTTTTTGAGACAGAGTCTCACTCTGTTGCCCAGGCTGGAGTGCAGTGGCGCAATCTTGGCTCACCGCAACCTCCACCTCCTGGGTTCAAGCGATTCTCCTGCCTCAGCCTCCCAAGTAGCTGGGATTACAGGCATGCCACAATACCCGGCTAATTTCTGTATTTTTAGTGGAGACGGGGTTTCACTATGTTAGCCAGGCTGGTCTCAAACTCCTGAGCTCAAGTGATCCAGCCTGCCTTGGCCTCCCAAAGTGCTGGGATTACAGGTGTGAGCCACTGTGCCTGGCTTATTTTCTTGTAATTCTTAAGTGAGACAACTATTTTTATCCTTTATTTCATAACTTGACTGTTTAAGGCTGTGTACTTTTCTTTGAGCAAAACTCTTATTACTATTTAAGAGAGTTGGCATTTTGTCTTAACTATGCTTGCTAGTAAGTGTCCCAAAATCTTCAGTGAGTCTAGTGTTGTTATTCACAGTAAAAATAAGATTAAAGGGAAAAAAAAGGTTCCAGAATATCATCTGTTCCCTCTCTCCTCTCCCTTTCTTAATGTACAGAGTTTTGGGGCTTAATATGATTAACTTCAAGATATGTTCTAGACACTGAAGTCTGTTAGGGTATTGAGTTTGATAATTATTAGTTCTACTACATCCTTACTTTTTACTGATTCAGCTGATAGGTATGAGTTAAAAACTCTTATTAGTACACTTACAAGCTAAGATTAATCAATATTTGAAGTCCTAAAACTTAGTCTAGAAATGCTTGATACCTATGTAATGCTTTGCACTTCTTCAGTTTCAGAATTAAACAATGTTAAATCAACAAGAATATTTAGATTAATGTACATGATTACATGATATTGTGACAATTTATGAATGTCAAAACCATTTTATTTTTACATACGGAGCACACAAAATATTTTAAATTCTAAAGTCACCACCTACAAGCTGTTTACACATGCTCCTTGACAGTACAAGCCAAGTTATTTGTGTACTTGAACAACAATAAAAATTTTGTCCATGTTCACTTTTACTGGAATGTTACTTGTATTACTTTCTGAAATTTTGCAAATAAAGGTTAGTTTATTTATGACTCTGTGTGAGAATGGGGACTGTTATTAAACAAGCAGAAAACTACAGCTAACAGAAGTTAACCATTTATTGACCACCATATCCAACTATTTTAAGAACATTACTGTACATTGAGATTCTCAGATTTAAAAAATAGGCCTAGATGGGGGAAAAAATGTTATGAAACCCTCCTGGACTTTACAGATTTAAAGCTTTTTCTCTAGTTTAATCCTACACACCAGGATGGTGTGAATATGTTCTTAATTTAGCAATAGAAGGATAATGTGCACAGCATTATTTGGTAGTACAGTTTAGACTTTTGCATGTTTACCTATACTGTGAACATGGTTAAATTTCTTTGCTAAACTGATCTTTATATTTTTATTCATTAATGTGGATAATTCTTTGCAATTTATTGCAAAATTTATTTACCATAACTTTACGCTTGTTTGCTACGTAAAACTATCTCATCATAAGGGAGCAGTTAATGAACTTGATTTTCAAGCAACTACAAGTGTCAAGCTTCTGTGACTAAGAAAACAGTGTAAAGTCTAAAACCTTATTATAATTTACAGCCTACATGGATCAGCATGATACAGATATGATCCTAGCACAAAGGTCTCTGCAAAAACTGGGGAGAGGGTGACTCCAATTCTCAAAGGATGTGAATTTCCACTAGTCAGCAGGTCTGAGTCAGCATTCAGAACAAGATCAGCCTGGGTCTAGTCCTAGTTACGACACTAGCTTGCCAATATAAAGACAAAGCAATATCTGATTTTAAAATCCACTGATCTGAGTTTGCTTTCATTTACCAAACGAGAGATCAGATGAGTCAACTCCTAGCTTGTTTTCCCCTGAGATGCGCTAAGGGTGATTCCAGTTCCAAAGCGGTAACCTGTGCTCTAAACCACTATGGGACCTCAAGAGTCCTAGCACCTTTTGATCCTATGGAATCCTTTCAAAGCACGGGCAGAGGCGGCTCAAAATGGCAAGGTCACTATACATTTCAAGGGCTTCTGTTTCAGAGATTACAAGTAGAGAAAAACAGAAGGTGGGAATTAAGATCAGCTAGGTAGAGCTGTGAGATGCAAAACAAAGGTTTTGCAGGAAGTTGAGGTGCTGACATACTCCATCTAGCTAAACTGAACACCAAATAATGGATGGAGACTAACACCACCAACACCATCGTCCCCGAAAATCCTTGTACAAGTGAGCTTCCTACAACGCGATGCAATATGCTGTCGCAGAACAAGCACTGCCAGGCTATGTAGCTGAACTTACCGTTCTCCAGGCGTCCATTTCCCCAACCTGTGAAAGGCGGGGAGGGGGTTGGACAAGATCACTAAGTCCTCTTCCGTTTCTGACACTTCACAGTCAGGGGTCCCGAGGTGAGGCCGAAATCCCAGTCTCCCGGGACGCAGAGGCCCTTGCGCGGTGCCATCCCCGCTGTCCCCCGGGCGCAGGCAGCTCCCGGCTCCTCCCCGCCCCTGCGGTTCCTGTGCACCAGGGAGGTGCCTCCCCAGCCCAGGGCGCGCCCGAATGAAGGGACAGCGCCTTCGCGGGAAAGGTCGCCCAGCAGCCGGACAAACACCCGCGGCAGGCGGGGGAGCCCGGAGCCGAGGAGGCTCAGAACTGATTCCGCCCGCGCCGCCTGGGTGGGGCCCGCAGGGACCGGGCCAGGGCAGCCGGAGCGCGCAGAAGACAGGGATGGGCCCCCAGGGCGGCAGCCTGCCCCAGCGGGCCCTTCAGCGCGTTTCCCCTCCCTCCAACCTCATGCGAAGAAAGCCCGGTGCTTCCCCACGCTCGTCCCACACTCACCCATCAGCGCCGGCGTCCCGCAGGACGGCTAGCGAGCCGGGGCCCGCGCAGGCGCAGACTGTGACCGACCCCGAGGTTGGGGCGCAGCGCGACGCGCTGGGCGCTGTTGGGGTCACGTGAGGGAGACACCGCCCCGCCCCGCCTCCCCTCCCTCGGCCCGCGGCCCGCCAGATGTCGCCAGCCTACTTCTCCTGGCCGCAGGCCGCCGCGGCGGGGCAGGTAGAGGGCCACGCCAGCACACCTGTCAGGATGCGGGCTCCGCTAGCCACCATGCTTCACCCTTGATGCCGTACGGTGGCCTCAGCGTGCCAGAAACAGCCAACGCGTTCTCTAGCGCGCTGCCTGCAGGGGGCGTCTGGGCATTGTCGGTTTTAGGGGCCTTGTCGGTTCTGCGGGGCGAGCGCCTTCGCGGAAAACTCCAAAGTACCCTCTGTGGAGCCTTGTTGAGTATCTTCAAACCTTCAGAGGGACCTTTTATCAGCGACCCATGCCGCAGTTTACAGAAGAACGCTTTGTGCGTGCTTTGGGACGTATGGATCACTTTTAAACTTTTTCCTTTGAAGCTCAGACAGCTTGCGGGGGGCTTGGGAGGAGCGCTGCCCGGGGAGTTAGAAGGCTTGGGTCAAAGTCATAGCCCTCATACTTCTTGAGAGTGACCTTGGGTGAGTCGCTGGACCCTGAGCCCCAAATCTCCGTCTGAAAAGTAACCCATGCCTTGTATGCGTCCTCGGGCTGTTGCAGGAGTCTTTGGAAATGATGGTTCTGACTCTGAGTTGGAAACTGGAACGCACACAACAGATGGGAGGCGTTGAAGGAAACAGAAAGGTCGGCCTGAGGGGAGAGGCGTTTCAGGAGGCTTGCGGATGTGTGAAGTGTGCGCACTGTGCTTGGGGCGAGCCCAAGCAGTAACCCCACCCGAGTGAAGCGTTCTTGGGGGGATCGGCTCCGGGTGGGCGACGTTCCCCGCGTGCCCCCTTCCCCCGAGAGCACTTTGTAGACACTGACTCCAAAAGCGGGTCTGGTCTCTGCCCAGCCCCACTTTGGCTGGCGTGCTTAGGTGCCTCTCGGGAAGCTGGAGACCACCCTCCCCCATTCCAGCAAACGCTCCATTGAGGAACCTACTGCGTGCCAGGTCCTGGGGAGCTTAGCGTCTGATGAAGGATACAACAACAAAAGACTGGAAATTCAGAAGCATGAGGGGACCTCCCCCCTCGAGGGAGAACCAGAGATGGCTTCACAGAGCAGACGTTTGAACTGGGCCTTGGAGGATGGATGAGTGGAATTTGGCCCAGTGGAGAAAGTCATAGCAGCAGGAGATAAGATTGTAAGGGTCAGGTGGTGGGGCTGGATAATGCGAATCTTGACTGTCAGACACAGACACCTGCCATCTAATTAGTACGCGAGGGATAAATTTTGGACTCCGCAGGATAAGGACAAGGCTACACAATGGCTTAGAACAGTTAATCGGGCAACAGTTGGAAAGGGCCTTTGCCTCAAAATTATGTTTGCCCTGTCTTGTGTGAATGCCTATTCAGATGCATTATTTGAAAAATAAATAAACCAGGCAGGCATCCAGCGTGTTCATAAGCATAAATAATTAATTTCAGATTAGAATGGAGAGGTTATTCTCCTGCGGTAAAACCTGAACAAGAAGGAAAAGACTGAAATTAAACACACAATTGGGGCACACCAGACTCAGAAAATCCCAGGCTAACGGGAAAACTGAGGTCTGGAGCTGAGCCCAGTCTGCTTCTTTTATGCTGCTGCAGGCCACAGCACAGTCCTCTGCCCCTCCAGCTCTTAGTTCCTTGTCAGAAACCCCCAGGCCCTTCATTGGCTCTTCTTGGGCATATGAATGTTGGGGATGAAAACCCTCTATTTTTGGATACCAGATCCATCTTAAAGTTAGCCCTTCATTTCTGTCCTCATCCACCCATTCCTGCATTCCATACCTCCAACCACTAGGTCAGCTGCCAGATATCCTCCAACCCAGCTGTGATCATGTCATCCCGCAGCTTAAAAATCTCCAATGGTTCCCCCTTGGTTCCCTCTTGGTTCCCCCAGTAAATCCAAACTCCTTAACTCGGTGCACGGGGCTGTCCTGTCCTGGCCCTTTTGCCAGTCTGTCCACCTCAACCCCAACTATATTCTGTGCTTTAGCCATATGCAGTCTCAGTGTTTTGCAAATCCTGTGTTCCTTAAGCCTGTTTCCCCCTTTCACCACTGATACATGTTAGCCCTTCACCAAATAGCCCTTCAAGGTCCTTTTGCCTCCTCTCCCTCCTAGAAGGCTTCCCTGATCATCTCAGGCAAAATTGACTGTCCTTGCCCCTGCCTTCCCATGCCCCAAAGTTTGGGGCGCTTCTGACATCCTGTCCTATGTTGTAGTCACTCATGACAGTGTGATCTTTCCCACCGCCAGCTCATGAGGGCAGAGCTGTCTGGCTTTTTCCTGGCTCTCCAACTCAGTGCTTGGCAAAAAGGGCGCCTAGGAGATGTTTGCCGAAATGAAATGCGGGTGGAGAGCAGAGCTGTTGGAAGGCAGGGCCTGGGTTCCTGGGGGAAAGGGCCATAAGAAGGTTGCTGGTGGATCTTTGCTTAATCACCCTCCACTCCTCCCCTCAAAAAATGCTTTCTAGAAGGTTGTCTGGTGCCCTCAGACTTCATTGGCTCTTAGGTGCACGAAAACAGCCTTACGCAAGCTGTCAGTGGAGTATCAGCTACTGTGAGTGACTATCTCTGCCACTCCCCTTCACACCCCCAGTACCAAATGGCCAAGGGCCAGCCAGCCCCTTGGTGTTCCCTTCCCTGAACTTGCTGCATTCTTTTCACGTCCCCCAACGCTTGGGTATTTTTTGTCCTCTGTGCCTAAAAGGTCTTGCTTGCTTCATAACAATGTCCTGTTCCTCCTGCATGGCTCAGTTCAGAGGCTTCTGGTCACTGCTGCCCCATCTGAACTCACTACGTCCTGCTGCAGAGCCCCTCAGTGCTGTCAGCCCCACCCTCCCTTGCCCCCACCTCAGGTCCTTGCAGTCTGTCCCCATGGCTGGTCTGTGAACTCCAGGACCTTCTCCCTTTCTGCTTCATTCATGTCCAAACCTGCTCTGATCCAGCAACTCACGTGCATCTGTATTAATAACATATAACAGAGACCCAGGGTTTACCCTGCCAGCCTGGGAGATTGTTTGTTCTCTTCAGTTTATTCATTCATTCATTTTAATGGTGGTGGGGCCCCACTGAATCAGTGATTCTTAGCCCTGTTTCACATTAGAATCATCTGGGAAGCTTTGAAAACAAAACAACAGCCACCCCCCGCCCCACTCCCCGGCCCCATTCCCCTGCCCCAGAGGTTCTGATTTAATTGGTTTGCAGTGGGACCTGAACCTTAGTATAGTCTAAAAGCTTCCCAGGTGTGCTGAGGTTGAGAACAACAGTGCTCAATTCTTGCTTCCCCAATGTGCCTGAAGACAAGAATCTCTTGAATTTGGGCAAACTACCTATGGGCCATACACTTAGGGACAGCACCAGCACTGAGTCACCCAGAAATGTGTTAGAAATGCAGAATTCTGGCCCCAGTAAACCAGGATTGGTATTTAACAAGTTCACCAGGTGTGCTGTGTGCACATTACAGATTGAAAAGCATTGACCTAGATTCTAGGTCCTAGAGGTCTGGTTAAAAAATAGATCTGTCTCATGTCTGTAATCCCAGAACTTTGGGAGGCTGAGGCAGGAGGATCACTTGAGTTTGAGACCAGCCTGGGCAACACAGTGAGACCCTGTCTATAAACAATAAAATAATTAGCCAGGCGTGGTGGCACACATCTGTAGTCCCAGCTACCTGGGAGGCTGAGGCAGGAGGATTGCTTAAGTCTGGGAGGTTGAGGCTGCAGTGAGCTGTGATCATACCACTGCACTCCAGCCTGGGAGACAGAGTTAGACCCTAACTCAAAAAAACCCAACATATATATATATATATATGATATATATACACACACACACACATATGATATATACACACACATATATGATAGATATATACACACATGATATATACACACATATGATATATATACACACATGATGTATACACACATACGATATATACACAAATATGATATATATGATATATATATATAATCAGTTCCAAGACAGACTAAATTAGAATCCCCAGGAGAGAGGCCAGTTGGCCTGTGTATATTTAACGCTAGCCCTGGCTGATTCTTCTCAGGCAATTTTGGGAAATTATAGCTTTAAATTGACATCCTGACCCATTATAGTGACCTGTGGTTTGAAACACAGGGTCCTACAGGGCTCAGGAATGTGTAAGTGAATGAGCCTGTAGCTCAGAGGGGAAACAGTCCTAAGGAAAATTATCAGCATTGCTTGAGAGCCGCACATACCAAGTGCTCTGAGTGTTGATAGGAGAGGGAAGTTGTACCAGCTGCAATCAGGGAAGGCTACTTGGGAAAGGTGATCTGTAAAGGAAAGCTAGGATTCAAATAAGGTGGGTTCCAGAAAAAACATGGGATGAGAAAAAGCGTATAAGAAGGAAGACACCAGGTGGCTTTTTCCCTATCATCATTTCGGTACCCCGGCTTTTTCTCCCAGCACACCAGCAGGCAAAGTTTATGCCCCCTGATAAGTCCCAGAGCTCAGAAAGATTGGTGACCTCTGGGTAAGGTCAGGGACACCTTACTTGTTGTCTGAGTGACACATACTTGTGAAATACAAATACATTTTTACCTACCAAGGGCCAAGTCAATGAAACAAGAAGCAGTTGCACAATACTGTGTGGGTTTCCCAAGCAGCCACACGATATGTCATTTCCTCAGATTTTCACATACTTTGTGTCCTCAAAGAAGTCCCATGACCTATCTGAGCTATGTACCCAGTAAGAGGTGAGGCTGGGACTCTGCCACTCCTATTGTTTTGGGGGATGGAGCTAGCCACAAATGCGCAGTGTGATAGTTGATGCTTTCCTTTTTCCTGGCACTTGTTCAAAGGCCCAGATGGATGGTGAGCTGCAGGGCGGTGGGCAGCCTGGCCTTGACCCCAGGGGAGTATCTCCTGAGCTCCCTCATCATAAGACACCCATGGGGAACTTGTGAAAAATATCGGCTTCCAGGGCTGACCCAAGACCTCCTGAATAAAAATCTCCAAGCAGAGGTCCTAGGAATTTGTATTTTTATAAGAACCATGTGTAAACCTTAGGTGAGGCTAGTTGGGAAACACTGAACTCAATGTAGCATGCTGCAAGGTCAGAATACTTGGGTTTGCATCCTTGATCCACCACTTCCTAGTGATGTCACTGGATAGCCCCACACCAGCCTCAATATCTCCATCTACAGGATGAGGGTCCTTCCTGGTGACCATGTTCCAAGACCCTGAGGGAGGTTCCCCATGATGGCAGATCCAGTGCGATGGAAGCTCATCCTCCTTCCGGTATAGAGGGGGCAGTGGTGCTCAGGGACACAAAATGCCACCCTTCTCTCTTGTCCTTGGGGCAGAAGGGACCATGCAATTTCTCTCTAGATCCCATTCACCTCTGGGCTATGACCTCCCCCTGGGCCTCCACCACTGAATCCAACTTCTGCTTTTCCTAGCATCGCTTCACCTTTCTGAACCTCAGTTTTTCTTTTCTGATATATTTTGTTTACTTCTTTTGTTTATTTTTTATTTTTATTTTATTTTTTGAGACGGAGTCTCGCTCTGTTGCCCAGGCTGGAGTACAGTGGCGAAATCCCTGCCCACTGCAACCTCCACCTCCTGGGTTCAAGCACTTCTCCTGCCTCAGTCTCCCAAGTAACTGGGACTATAGGCACCTGCCACCATGCCTGGCTAATTTTTGTATTTTTAGTAGAGAGGGGGGTTTCACCACGTTGGCCAGGCTGGTCTTGAACTCCTGACCTCAAGTGATCCGCCCGCCTTGGCCTCCCAAAATACTGGGATTACAGACGTGAGCCACCATGCCCGGCCTGTTTATTTTGAGACAGGGCCTCCCTGTGTTGCCCAAGCTGAAGTGCAGTGGCAAGATCTCAGTTCACTGCAGTCTCCACTTCCTGGGCTCAAGTGATCTTCCCACTTCAGCCTCCCAAGTAGCTGGGACTACAGGTGTGCAGTACCACACCTGGCTAATTTTTGTATTTTTTTTTTTTTTTTGTAGAGATGGGTTTTTCTCCATGTTGCCCAGGCTGGTCTTGAACTCCTGAACTCAAATGCTCCTCCCTCCTCGGCCTCCCAAAGTACTTGGATTACAGACATGAGCCACCACACCAGGCCTGAACTTCAGTTTCTCATCTGCACAGCAGGACTCCCATTGTGGGAGACCAATGCATGTACAATGTGAGGCGCACATAGAGTAAACCCGCCACAGATAGGATCTTTTATCATTGTTACTTCAGCTAACAAATACTTATTGAGCACCTACTGTATGCCAGCAGCTGTCCTAGATCCCTGCTTGTGTGGAGTCTGCATTCTGGTTCCGTTCTAGGGGTTGGAGACAGACAATAGATAATGAACACAATACATGTTTAATATTTAAAGAATAAAGCTGCTGCACAGATTTAACATTTAAACAATAAGACAATAAATAGGTTCAACATTGACATAAATAAATGTAATTATTTAAATAGTAAACAAAACAGATGCTTTTTTTTTTTTCTGTTGCCGAAGCTGGAGTGCAGTGGTGCCATGCTGGCTCACTGCAACCTCCGCCTCCCAGGTTTAAGCGATTCTCCTGCCTCAGCCTCCCAAGTAGCTGGGATTACAGGCATCTGCCACCACACCTGGCTAATTTTTCTATTTTTAGTAGAGACAGGGTTTCGCCATGTTGGCCAGGCTGGTCTCAAACTCCTGACCTCATGTGATCCACCTGCCTCGGCCTCCCAAAGTGTTGGGATTACAGGCATGAGCCACCGCTCCTGGCCAACAGATGCTTATTATTTAGATAATAACTATAGTGTGTTAGAATTAATTTAAATAACAGAGAAAGATGGGATGTTAGAGGATGCTGAGAAAGGGGATGGAGAGAACTCTGTGAGCACTGCTCTGGGACGTCCAGCTGGAGAGGAAGAAGATCTTAAGAGCTGTGGTCTCAACTTCAGGAGATGTCCAGTGAGGCTGGAGCATTTTTTATTTATAAAATAGACTCCACTTCTTGCCTCCCACAGGAAGCCTTTCTGGCACCCTAGACCCTCTTTGCTTTGAAATCCTGTGGCTACACTGGCCTCTGCCATCACACTTTGTTCTCATCCTAGCTGACCTCTGAAGGTTGATGACGCTAAGCCTTGCTAAGGGCAGTCATTCAACACCGCGTGTAATCTTTGCAGCAACCCTGTGAGGCTGCTGGTTTTGTGTTACTTTGCAGCAGAGGAAGCGGAAGCTTTTGCAGTTTGCCCAGGTCACACAGCTGGAAAGGGACGGAATTAGACTAAGTTCCCCCTGGGTGATGGCTGTTTCTCTGCTCACCTGCGTCCTGGACCTGAGGAGGGCAGGGCTCCTTCTGAGCTTCTCTGGGTTTCCCCAGCCCCAGCTCCAGCCCCTGACCCTGGCTCTCTCACAGGGGCAGAGGGAGGGTCTACTGAATGGGAGGTAAGGGGCTTGCCCTTGGGGTAAAAGGACAACTGTTCCGGCTTGCTGGGACCATCCTGGTGTTAGCCCTCAGAGTCCTGCACCCTGAAAAGCTTCTCTTATAGGGACAACTACTCACCCTACATGCAGAGCCCAGTCTCCTGTCCAACCCCATGGGTAGCCTGAATTCATGCTGTCCCTGAAGAGAAAAGCTACTTACAGTGTGCCTCATGTTTTAGGCAAGGTCCAAGTTGCTAAAAGTCTTTAAAGGTAACAGGACAGCTTTTCTGTGGGGGCACTCCCGGACACAGCAGTGGAAGAGGAACTGACGCATCTCTGGAGGACAGGAAGTCTTGAAGATGTACCTAACCTTTGACCTCATAATGCCCCGTCTATTAATTTCTCCTTACAAAAAAACCAGAAATATGGATAAAGATTTCTGAACAATTCCCTGCAGAGCTGGTTATACAAAAATTTGAATAAGTTAAATTAAGGTAGAGGCCAGGTGCAGTGGCTCACGCCTGTAATCCCAGCACTTTGGGAGGCCAAGGCAGGCGGATCATTTGAGGTCAGGAGTTCCAGACCAGCCTGGCCAACATGGTGAAACCCCATGTCTACTAAAAATACAAAAAGTAGCTGGGCATGGTGGTAGGCGCCTGTAATCCCAGCTACTTGGGAGGCTGCGGCAGGAGAATCGCTTGAACCTAGGAGGCAGAGGTTGCAGTGAGCTGAGATCATGCCACTGCACTCCAGCCTGGGCGACAAGAGTGAAACTCTGTTTTTTAAAAAAAAAAAAATTTAGGTAGAAAATACGATACAGCTATTTAAAAAAAGATCATATTGTAGGAGATTTAATAACAGAGGAAAAGGGACACGACACTGTGTTAAGCAGAAGATGGAGGCTATAGAACTATGTAAACATGGCTTGAGCCCAATTTTAATTTAAAATAATTATATATGTGCATAGAGAAAAAGACTGAGGTGATACTTCAGAACGTGAATGTACTGTTCTTTGAGTTTAGGGTAATTTTTATTTTCTTCTTTATGTTTTCCTGAAATACAAATTTCCATTACTAATACAAGTAAAAAAAAATTTTTTTTTTTGAGACAGAGTCTTGCTCTGTCACCCAGGCTGGAGTGCAGTGGCCCGATCTTGGCTCCTCCGCCTCCTGGGTTCAAGCGATTCTCCTGCCTCAGCCTCCCAAGTAACTGGGACTACAGGTGCCCATTACCACACCCGGCTAATTTTTGTACTTTTAGTAGAGATGGGGTTTCACCATTTTGGCCAGGCTGGTCTTGAATTCCTGGCCTCAAGTGATCTGCCTGCCTTAGCCTCCCAAAGAGTTGGGATTACAGGTGTGAGCCACCGTGCCCAGCCACAAGCACAAACTTTGTGTGGTTTTTTTTTTTTTTTTTTTGAGATGGAGTCTTGCTCTGTTGCCCAGGCTGGAGTGCAGTGGCAGGATCTCGGCTCACTGCAACTTTGCTTCCTGGGGTCAAGTGATTCTCCTGCCTCAGCCTCCTGAGTAGCTGGGATTATAGGCGCCAGCCACCATGGCTGGCTAATTTTTGTATTTTTAGTAGAGACGGGGTTTCGCCATGTTGGCCAGGCTGGTCTTGAACTCCTGACCTCAAGTGATCCGCCTGCCTTGGCCTCCCAAAGTGCTGGGATTACATGTGTGAACCACTGCGCCAGGCCACAAAGTACACATTAATTTTATAATTGGAAGTCAGTAACTTTGAAATAATATTGCATAAAATTGTTCCGTACTGAGCCCTTCTGATTCGGCCTGACCTCCCTTCCCAGTGGGCATGAATGGGCTTGACTTTAGAGTACACTGCAGTGGGAAAAGCTTGGATCGGGAGTCAGAGGGAGCCTCCCAGCTCTTGCTGAAGTTGTTTCCTTTGCCTAGGATGCCCGTACTCCCTGCGTGTTGAGGCCTGGCTCAGATGCCACTTCTACTGTCTCTTCTGCTGGAGCACCCATCATTCATCACTCCGCACTGCCTGCCGTTTATCTGTTTACATGCCTTCCTCTTCCTTCTCTGGGCCTGCAGAAGTTCTCCTTCTGTAACTGACAGGGTGACTTGGAGGTGGCATTTCTGCTCCCTGGGACTGGCTGCAATACTAAAGAAAACCACACGAGGGCACTAGAGCCACACTGGTGGCTTCCTGCCATCCTGGTCAGATCACAGCTTAGGAAACTGTCCCCCAAGCCAGAGATGACACCAGTCACTACAGGCCTGGGATGCTCCCACTTGGGGGAGCCAATGAGGAAAGAAATGGCTCATCAACTCTGAGAAGAATCCCCCAGCCCTACCCTAGTCTTCCCAGAGCTGCACTGGCCAAGGCGACCCTTGGAGCTGGTCGCCCTCAAGCACCCCAAGGCATGTGGAGAGGGACTTGCTGTGTGGCCTTGAGCATGCCTCTGTCCCTGTCTGGGCCTCCATTTCTGGCCCGCCTTGCTGGCTCTCTGTGCAGGGATGAAGGCATCTGGCGACCCACCGCTTCCTGTGGACTCTGATGAGGAAGGGGTTTCTTGTGCTCAGTCTCCTGCTCCTGGTCACCAGCTTGCCCTGTCTGTTTCATGCTCAATGTGTGTTAAATTGAACTGAAAGAGAAATACCCGCCACCACCGCCACCCACCACCACGCAGAACACATTCTAGAGGTGACCTTTCCTCCCTCCCTTCAGGAAATTCCCGGTGGCAGAGCACTGGCATTGCCTGTGGCCCCTTGGTCCTGACCAAGCTCAGGAATGTTTTCTGTCACCAGGACCCTGTGCCAGGGCTTTGCCCTCCCCGAGCACAGGCGTTCCCCGGGTGTGTGTGTGTGCACGTGCATGTGTATGCTGGGGCATGGGGGTGTTGGTGTCAATGCTCTGAGGGAGCCTGACAGTTGGAGGTGTGGATTCTGGGACACTGGGATGTATCGGGGAGGTGGGGGAGAGGGGAAGAGGTGAACCAAAGCCCTGGAGTCCTGGAGAGTCGGGGAGGAAGGGGGCCAGCTGGGGAGACAGACAGCCACATTCTTGAAAAGGAGAAGGGAGGGAGGAGTGGCAACTAAGTTCCTGCGGAGGCGGGGGCGGGGGTTGGGGGGGTCGAGGAATCACTCCAGAGCAGGCCCCCAACATGCTGGGGAATGCTGTGCCCCTTCAGGTGTAGGTGAGGAGGGGCTTGGGCGCAGACCTTCCAGGTGGACCTGGGCTGCCTAATGCTGTCATCATGGCGATGGTGGCAGGCAAACAATGGCAGATTTTGTGCCAAGACTCGTGTCCTGCCCTTCTCTCCTTAAGAATTCAGCTCCTCTAGGAAACAGGTGGCCAGCATCTCCCCATCTTTGGGGAGACCCTCCCTGCCCTGCCCTGTTCATTTGCCTCTGCGGAATGAGGCCTCTGGAGTCCCAGGAGTCTGGCCACCTCCCACCAGGGCAGGCTGCACCACATTAGGCTCTGATGGACTCACCCTGATGATTCTACCACCTGTTATCTCTGCATAGACCATCCAGCCCGCCAGGATCTCTGCTGAACTCCTACCATCCCCCAAGGCCCAACTTTCCCTGACCGCTGCAAGCAGATTCAATTCCCTCTCATCTGGGATCCCACAGCTCCTTGGGTTGTTTTTACACACTGGAAACTTCTTGAGGGCAGGGGCTGAGTCCCATTCACCACTGTATCCACCAGACCTGAGGACCAGTAGGTACTCACTGAATGTCTGCTGAACGAATTCATTTATTTCCATTGAGCTCATTAGGCCTCTCTCTTCCTCATAATTAGGAAGCAGAAAGGTTGCTTTTTCCTTTAACAATCCACCTTTGGAAGCTGATGGCAAGAGCTCAGCTTTTGCAAGCAGAAGGCAGTCCAGCTAGATTCCTGGGGCACATGACTGCATTAAAAAACAAACAAACAAAAATCATGCATGCTCAAGGAGGTGCATTTAAAGGAGACACTGTGTGGCCAGGCACCCGCCAGTAATCCCAGGACTTTGGGAGGCCAAGGTGGGAGGATCCCTTAAGCCCAGGAGTGAGACCAGTAGCCTGGCCAACATGGCAAAACCCCATCTCTACTAAAAATGGAAAAATTAGCTGGGCATGGTGGTGCATGTCTGTAGTCTCCGCTATGTGGGAGGCTCAGGTAGGAGGATCACCAGAGCCTGGGAGGCAAAGGCTGCAGTGAGTGGAGACTGTGCCACTGCACCCCAGGCTGGGTAACAGAGAAAGACCCTGTCTCAAAAAAAAAAGAAAGAAAAAAAAAAGACAAATGGTAAACAAGACACTTGTAGTATATTAAGAGCTTCACATTAAATATTCATCATTATACAGTGTGTCACATAGATTTGGAATGTTACAAGAGACTTCAGCAGTAGGTGGCTGGTTTAAGGCTCCTGGCAGGGATGCAAACAGCCCCAAGGAGGGAGGTGGAAAGGCCAAGGGGCACCTGTGTTCCAGGACCAAGGGGCTTGCCCTCCTGCAAGCGCGCCTGTGAACAAGTCCCCGTGGGGTTCTGGGAGGTGCGCCCACATCTAAGACTGTGCGCCCTGCACTCCCTCTGGATGGCTTGCCGAATTTGGTCTTCGCTGATCACCAATTCTGGAAGGGTGGAGAGACAGTTGGCTGGACAGCTGCCTGATTCGGCCATGACCCTTCACGGGTGTCTGTGGGCCAACACCAAACGCCAGCCTGCTCTGCTGGCAGGGCTTCTACCTGCACAGTCCCTAGGGCTGCAAGAGCAAATGGGGACCCTGGCTGCCGGTCCTTGCCAGGCCCTTGGTCAATGATATCACCACTTCTGAGACAGCGTCTGGGGAGCTACCGGAACTTCGTGTTCAGCATCTTACAAAGGGGGCCGCTGGTTCTGGGAATGGGCAGAGGGAGCCTGCAGCTCCACCCTGTTGACCGGACGCCTTGCGGGTAGCTGCTTCAGGTTTCCCTCCTGCTCACTCTCAGGCCACAGAGGGGCCCCGGCCCACAGCCGCCCTGTGAGGACAGGGCCTGCCTCCTGAAGCCTCGGAGTCTTTGCACCCCTTTCCTGGGAACAGCTACGCTGTGAGCCTCTCTCCAGGAGAGGGTGTCAGCCTGGGCCATTCTTCTGACTTCAGGACGGGACTGGCAGGCGGTGGGGCCCTCTTCCCCTACAAAGCCTCCTTTCTTTCTGTGGGCGCCATCCTGTTTGGGGGGCTGCCAGAAGGGCCCTTGACTCCTCAGCGCTCAAGGACAGAGTTGCTCAAGTGGGCAGGCATTATGGTCAATAATAAAGCCAGCAAAGAAGGGAGACACAGAAACAGCCGCTAGTGCTGGAGGTTCTCAGACAAAATGCCGAGGGCGCGACGTTGTGTGGCAGGAGCTTTTCTTTTCTCTCAAAGAAATCCAGCTCAATTTTTTCCCCAATTAATTGGCAGCAGATGAAAAAAAAAAAAAACAAACCCAAAACAAAAACCAAACCAAAGCCAGTAACCTGAATGTGAGTGTTTCTGAAAGGGAAAAGCTGTTTCAATTGTTAGATGTCCAAGAAAACATGAATACAGGCTGACACAGGAAACGGTCACAATTAGAGGAAGAAGAGGGAGAGGTTCATAAAATTAAGGGAAAAAAATTCTTTTCAGCAGCTCCCATCCTGTAAGCTGGCTCCTCTGCTGGCCTCTGTCCCTGAGAGGGGCAGGAGGTTGGGCCTCCCAGGGAAACTTCAGGAAGACGAAGGCCAGGGACAGAGGGAGGGTCCCAGGAATACCCTAAGAGGCCAAGTCAGGGCCAGAGGGCACAGCTGCCAGCTTCCACTGAGACCCTCCCAGAGCCTTTTCTGAGGAGCAATGTGCCCGGGAAGATGGTCTACAGGGAAGGACCGTGAGGTGCGGCCCCACCCAGCAGCCTCAGGAAGTGGCTGGACCTGAACTTGCCAGTGTGAGGTCTCACCCTCCTCCCCCGCCGGAGGGTTGTTCCCCCTCTTCCTCAGCCTCTCTTGGGCCTCCTCTGAGAATAAGCCTTGGGGTCCAGGCTCCTCTGTTTGGCCAAGTGCCAACTCCTCACTCATCTTGTCATTTCCCACCTACCTTCCCACTCCCCCAAAGGAAAGCACGAATCGTTCCAGGGTGTCCCTGCCTTCCTCCCTCATTGAGGGATGTTTTAGGAAATGCCAAACAGGCAAGGAAAGGATTGGCTTCTTTAAGAGATTAAACCCAGGCCACAGCCAGCGTGGTCTCTATGAGGGCTGGGCCACGTGGACGTGCCAGACAAGGCCTGGGAGGAAGACCCAAGAGGCAGACTGGTCACTAAAGGCGGGTCACCAAGGGCAGGGCTTTGCACAAACCGCTGAAGTCCACGCAGCTACCTAAAGGGGCAGGGCTCAGTCCCAGCTCGACACGTGGCCTTGGCGAGTCCTCCTTCTCCGGGCCTGTGTCTCTGCATGTGAACAGTGAGCTGGAACCACCTCCAAACAGTCTCTAAAGACATGAGCAGCGCTGATGTCTGAACCTGCTGATGACATTCAAACTCGGCCCCTTGTGCTCTGCCCAGGTGGGCCAGGGATGACAGTCGTCAAACTTCTAGTTCATTCAGACCAGCTGGTGCCTGGCGAAGGCTCTGGAACCCTTGTATCTCATTCAGGAGAGGGCAGCCACATCTTCATGCTACTGGGTGGGTGGAAAAAGCAGGAGAGCTGAGAAACTCTTAGCCTCATCGGGGCTGCCTGGCCTGTGTGGGAGGACCCTGCTATGGCAAGCAAGAGAGAGGTCGCGTGTGCGTGTGCGTGTGTAGGTGTTCTTGTGTGTGGAAGCAGTGTGGACCACTGAGGGCTGTGTGTGTGTGTGTGTGTGTGTGTAGGTGTTCTTGTGTGTGGAAGCAGTGTGGACCACTGAGGGCTGTGTGTGTGTGTGTGTGTGTGTGTGTAGGTGTTCTTGTGTGTGGAAGCAGTGTGGACCACTGAGGGCTCTATGTCCCTGGGAGGTCAGGATTCTCCCTCCTCCATGGGCAGGGTGACAGCAAGGCCATGCAGAACCAACGAAAGAGCATTGGCTGCAGAACCGCTCTGCTGCTGGTGAGCTGTGTGGCTTTGGGCAAATGACGTTCCTTCTCTGTCTCCCTTTCCCTACATGCCAAATACCTCCCAGGTGGTGCTAACAGATAGTGGGGAGAGAGCCCTTTGTAGCCAGCTGGGTGCTGTGTCCAGGGGTTGGGGGGGTGTCAACACAGACGTCCCACTGCAGGAGGGAAAGACTGGTTTTTTGGTCAACACTGGAGGCTCCTGACTATGTCCACTGCTGAAGCCTGAACTCTGAGCTCTGGGTTGACTCCCAGAGTGCTACCGACTGCCTCAGCCCAGTTGTCAGAGCAGACGGCTCTTGTGTCCAGAGCTGCTGAGGGCTGGAGCTGAGGCCTCGGCCTCCCTCCCCTCCCTGGGGCCTGCCACAGCAGCAAGCCCAGAGGAGACACGCCTTGCTCTGGGAGTGAAACCAGAACTGCCCCCTCAGAGACCCTCTGCAGTATATCAAAAAAGGATAAGGCTATATATTAAATGACTATTTTATTTACACACCCTATTCATAAATAATTGAATCCTCTTTTTGACTGCACAATGATTCCTTGAAGATAGCCTAATGATTACACTGAGTGACTACAAGTAGATCAGTGGGCTTACCCATCTGTGTGTGACCACCTTCTCACATCTGTACTCACACACACACTCACACAGACACACATATACACACCAGCGGGGCGGGAACCCCGGGGCCTCCGGGACTCTCAAAGCACCAGCATTTGGCTCCCAGCATCAGTAGGGGGGCTCCTGTGGGAAAACTTTGCCCTGTACAGAGGTGTGAATTTGAGACAGCTGGAGAACAAAGAGATGTCAGCCAGGGAGCTCCCGCCCCACCCTACCCCGCCCCTCGGAGCTGGTCTGCCTTTGTTCATCCTGGAAGGCATCTCTTTGGATTTGCAAATATTTTAATTCACAGAAACTCAAGGAGAGGGTGGGGGTGGGGGCTGGGGTGGTGTGTTGCCGCCCTTCTGTCTTTATCCAGGCCTTCTCCAGCCCCCGTAAGTGGCAACAGCATTCTAGAGACATGCAGTGGTGTGCTAGTACCATACACACAACACAAACGACACAGCCAGCAACAGTGGCTGGGCTGGTTGGTGGGGGGCCTCTGGCACCTCCAAGTCTCAGGCTCTGTCACAGAGCAGGGCAGGTCTGGTCCGCTCACAGGGTCCTCACAGCCACGGGATAGAGGAGGGACAAGTGCTCAGCCCCTTTGATGGGTAGCTTTCTGGTGGTGTAGTAGTGGATGACTTCCGGGACACTGTCGAACGGAGGGCTGTTCTGACCCAGAACGTATTTCTCTTTGGTTTTGGCCAGTTTCATGTGCATAAAACCCTGGTTGCTCCTGTGAACAAAACACAGAGTTATCAGAACTACCCCCCTGACACTCAGGCTGAGGCCAAGGGTCTCCTCAGCTGTCTGGGACAGAAGGGATCCCAGCCATGAAGTGGCTGTGAGCTGCACCTCTCCAAGCCAGGACCGAGGCCCAGGACCAGATGAAATGCAGCTGCACCCAAGCGCACCCCCAATTCCGGCATCTGACCCGGAACCAGCAGCAGCCGCCACTGCTACAAGAGAGCATTCCAACACTGAGCGCTTCTAGGGACTTCTTCAGAAAAACAAAACAAAACAAAACAAAACAAAACAAAACAAAACAAAACAAAACAAAACAAAACTTAGTCCCTCTTTTCTATTACCAGTGCATATCCCTGTTTAAGCCTTGCCTGACAGGTGCAAAGTGTGTTCATGTCCCCAATGCCATGACAAGTGGGTAGGGCAGGGGTCATCACCCCCAGTTTCCAGAGGAGGAAACTGTGTGGCAGGGATGGCAAGTGATCTGTCCTTCCCTTTCAGTAGTAGGAAACTGTCACTGGGAAGGGGCCACCCAGCCAGGGACTACATTTCCCAGCCTCCCTTGCAGGCAGTTAGCCATGTGACTTGGCTTAGCCACTGGAAGGTGGGCAGAAAGTCTGTACTACCTGCCCTTCTTTATAAACCCTGTCTCCTGCAAGGTCCAGCCTGTGTTGCCTCTGCTGGGTGGTTTTCCAGGCTCCCACAGGCAGAGCTCCTTCCTTCATCTGGTGGCACTGAGGACACGCATGCCTTCCTGAACTGTAGGTACTTAGCCACCATCCCGGCTCCTCTGAGCATGCCATGGAGCAGGGCCCAGTCTATGTCCACCATGCTTGGCTTCAGACCTGCTTGGGAGGAGCCACCTGAAGTCTGCTCAAGGAAAAGCAGTGGGTGGGTTTCTCAGAGATCAGAGCACACAGCCCTTGCAGCCTGCCTGCATCAGCTCACGAGGGCCAAAGCCACAGTCCTCCCACCAGCATTTGCCTAGCCCCAGCAGACCTCTCCCAGCTCTCACCAGGGCTGCAGCCACACTGGATCCCTCACCCCTCCACCAGCCTGTCCTCTGCCTGCCCACTCAGTTCCACGCCTTTTATGATTCTACTGTGATTCTGCCACCAGACGTGTGGATGCTTTAGATTTTCCAAAGCACAGTCCACTTTATCGGGTGTCTGTCCCTTAGGTAGAAAGCTGGAGCTTCTGACAAATCACCTGCCCCCATCTCCACGGCCTCCAGCAGACTCCCCCAACCTGAGCTCCAAGCAGACTTGAAGGTTTGCAGCCTTTCCGCTCCAGCTCCGCCCCTAGCCGCTGTCGCTCCCACAGGGGCTCTCAGGGCTTGAACACATCTCTTCCAGTCAGGACTGGGCTTCCCAAGCTTACAAGTGCCCACTCTATTAACACCTTAATTTGGGCTCCAGGACCATTTTTAAATGGGCAGAACAAATGCTTAATGAAGTGCGAGCACTAAGCAATATGTCTGCTCATAATAATGTATTTAGAGATGTCACCCTTAGCTTAAAGGAAATCGTTGGGAGAGCCAATTACATTTCAAGAGAGACTAATTCCTGTAAAGAACTGGAATTTAAATCAAGATTTTTTTTAAGGCTGGCAATGTTCTAATTACAGAGCCTGTGGCAAGTTCTGCTCCTCAGTGAAGGGTCATTTCATCGGAGAATTGCCTAGACACGTCTGAGAAGCAGGCGGCGCACTCGCTTAGGCTGCAGAAAGGAAACGGCATGTGTGTTACAAGAAGAATGTAAAACTCCATTCCAGCAAAGACTCACCTACCCACCACGCCGAAGAGACCACAGATCTGTGCCAGTTTGGAAAGGGCTGTGATTGCTTAAGTAATGCGCTGAAACTGTGTGGCTGAGAAAACAGCAGAAGAGTTAAAAAGCTGAGCTCTCAGAGCCACATGCCCAGCTTTGCCTGGAGAAGGGGTGTGGAAGGGCGAGAGAGCAGGGCTGGTAAGGAGGGGCTGCAGGTGCCAGGGACACTCAGCAGGGAGGAGGGTATGACCCTGGGCACATCATTCCCCTCTGCGTGCATGCACTGAGTGGCCTTACGTTTTTGGGGTGCTGGACCAGCAGGCTTTGTGATTCTCACAGATCTATACCTGGGGGACAGAGTGGAGGAGGTGTCAGGCAGAGGGTCACAGCCGCTGGCGGGAACTGAGTCTGCCAGTGTGCAGGTATGAAGCTGCAGGGGAACAAGCCAGTTTCATTTTCAAGGTTAGGAGAGTAACTCACATGGGTGAAGGCAACATTTCATATGAATTTGTTCTACGGCATCTGGCAAGGGAAGTGGACAGTGATAGCAGCAATGGCTCTGACAGAGTCCGAAGCAGAAGCTAAGCTCCTCTGTTCCCAGGTTAGGGGCTTAGAATGGCCACCAAGTACTAAAAGCCACACAATGTCCTCTGTACCTTGGCTGCCGACAGATAGCGAGGTGGGGCAGCTGCCAGGCTGAAGAGAGTCTAGACGTCCCCGGGAAGTCCCTCCTGCCTGTCTGAGCCTGCTGTTTATCACCCCCAACACACTCCTATCTCGCCTGTGTAAGCACCCACGAGTTTACCACCCTGAGCCAGGCTGTGCCGATGGGGCAGACTGGTCATGAAGCTCAGAGACCAAGGCAGAGCTGGGACCAGCACTTGGGCTCCATGAACCTCTAGTCTGTGGCCTGACCATTCTCAGGCAGAGGGAGAAAGGCGCGTTCACATGCTGACCCTCCTGGGCTCAAGCACTGCACCCCGTGGGTTCCCTGGCCCTCAGGCTATCCTTGTGCCTTGCTGGGCTCTGTCCCTTCTCCTGCTGCATCCACAGGGAGGCTGACTAGATGACCCTGGGGGGTACTTCCAGCCCTAGATCCTGGATTCCACATGTGCAAAACATAATCTGCTGCCTACCCGCTGAGGGCTTCCTGCAGGAAGGGGTCTGCAAGCAGCCTCACACCTTCCCTCCACCGCTGCCCTCATCCCCAGTCCTGCTTTCACTGGGGCATTGGCCAGGATTGCCTTCAGGGACAATCCTTCCTGTAGGCCAGGCTCTATGTCCTGAAGCACCGAGGTGCAGAAAGGGGAGGTGTCTGGCCCAAAGTCACACAGTGATTATCAGCAGCAGATGCCCAGAGTCAGTGCTCCTGACCTCAGCACTCCCCAGACCTGAGAGAGGGCCTCATGTAACCCTCAGTGTTCCATGTGAAGCCAGGCAGAGGGGGCGGATGAGAGGCGTCAGACTCTGAGCAAACATCCCCTCCACGCTGATCTTCCGCCTCCACAGCGCCCATGGTGCAGGGCTGACGGCAGGTCAGAGACAGCAGAGGGGCTGGGAGTAAAAGACAATGTGTGGCACCCACACAAGGGGCTGTGCCGAGGATTGGAAATGGCATGTTCTGATTGGTGGAGCCCCCCAGCCTGAGAGGCAGGGTGGTGACCGCCCCCCCAGGGGTCCGAGGTCCCGAGACTATCTGCCAATCCTCGACCAATGCAAGGGTCAGGTGACGCCTTGTCCACACACAGCCAGGAGACATGCTGTGACAATACATTCTCATTGGTTAAGGTCCCCATGAGGGAGATGCCATCTAACAGTTGAAGATTTAAAAGCAGCTGCCAGGAGTGGCTTCAGTGACTCCCACCTTCACACAAAAGGAGACGCGAGCATGAGCAAAGGAAGCATGAGCACTTCTGTGGAGAACAGAGGGGTTCATCAGGCAAGGAGTATGGCTGCTCCAGGCAGCATGTATTCTGAGCTGCAAGCAGCCTGGGGGTCACCTCTCACTCCCCTGGGGTACCGTGGAGGAAACTGAGGCCAGAGAGTACACTACCCTGGCCCAAGGCGCACAGCAAGGCAGGCTGCAGGTGAACCCAGAGCCCCGGCCCCGCATCCCGAGCCAGCTGAGCCGGGCTCCGAGCCACATCTCCTCCCACCCTTCTTCAAGGCAGCATGGGCTTCCACACCTCGGCACCGTCATCAGCACCATCGTCGTTCAGGGAGGGCATTGCCCCCGGGGAGCTTCAACAGGCTGCTATGCCTGCCAAGCTCCTGCATCAGCCACATCTCCTTTGATAGGACATCTTGCGAGGGCAAAGTCACAATGAGAGGTGTCTCTGGTGGGTGACCTGTCTAATGAGTCTTGTAAGGCTGGCAGAGGCCGGGGTGCTGGAGCTGTCACAGGCGTTCAGATCGCTCATTATCATCACAAAAAGCACCTCCTCATCATCAGGATTATCAAATGTGCCGGGCACGCAGGGCTAATAACAGGCCCCACCTTGCAGCGCAATCACGGGCTTTAATAAAACATTACTCAGCCTGCAGCTGCCGGCCGCCGAGCAGGGTGCGAGGCCTCACCTCTCGCTTTTAGACCTAATTGCTTGATGCATATTTCATGAAGAATCCTGGGTAATAGTTATGTTAAATCGCTTCTTTTCATGATGAAATGACTTAAAAATACTTGCATATAATATTTATGCAGGAGAAGGATGGAAATTGGCCTTTGGGACTAATGTGTGGGACCCAGTTACAGGACTCCAGACACAGAGGGGATTTCTGGTTTACCTTAGCTTGAAAGGTGCATGGGGAGCTGCTGTCCTGACCCAGATGTCCCCAGAACATTAGCCCTCAGGTCAAAACCATCTAAGGCTCCCCATGGCCAAAACAGATATAACAACACCCAGTACTTCAAGAGCCCCTACTGGGTACTGGGCTCTGAGCTGAGCTGTTGCCACATATTATCTCATTTAAACTGTAGAGCAAACAACTTTAAGTTGTTAGAATGATCACTGTTTACAGATGGGAAAACTGAGGCTCAGGAAAATTGTGTCTCATGGGACATGGTAGGGCTAGGATTTGAACCTATGTTTGTTGAACTCCAAAGCCTGGCATTCAAGGCCCTGAAGCTCCCACCACAGCCTCATCTTCCTCTGCTCAGCTACCCGTTGGCCTCTTTCTGCCCCAAGATCTGGCTTCCCTGCAGCTTGGTGAGAACTGGAGGTTAAGAATCCTGTCAGCCCATTGTGATGTTTCTCAGCAGGCTGAGCCTTAGCCCCCTCTGGCCTCTGGGCACACATACATGCCTGGCACACAGCTGGGGCACTGTGCCCATCACCCATCCACCCATCTATCCATCCATCCATCCATCCACCCGCCCACCAGGGTCTGCCCAGAGCCGGGGCAATGAGGCCCCATGCATCCTCCCCTCCAGACGTAAGCTTCCCAGGGCAGGCTGGTGGCTGGTCGACCTTGTCCCTGACTGCAGCCCAGCAAAGGGAGAAGCTGCCCACTCTGAGGCTGGATACAGTGGATGCTTTCTCCAGTCAGCAACAGTCCCAGGACGAGCCAGTGAGAACTGGCAGAGTGGGAAGGACTGGGGAGCTTCCGGAGGGTCATCCCTATGAGGTGAGTACACAGGCACACGCTTTTCAAATCAGAAAGTCTCCCCCAGGGAGGCCACAGGGAAGAATGCACCAGAGCCCTCTTCCCTTAGGATTTGGAAAGGACTTATTCCTGAGGCCACTCAGCCGCCCAGTGTCCCCTGCCCAGGCCTAAATAAAACATGAAAGTGAGACAAGTTCCCTTGCAAAATCATGGTCTTCTTGAAGGGGTAATGTGAGCGCTGGCCCTGCCCCTCCCTACTCAGGCTCTAAGTGGCTGCGTCTTTTCTTCTTGTTGGGCTATTTTATTTTGCTATTTTTTACCCCTACTCTTTCTTATGACTTTATTTTCCATTACCCCAAAGAATGTGGCACAAAGCTGTTGGGCCATTTTAAACATTTAAATCTTACATTGTGCGAAGATTCCTGGGCCAGGTTGTTGGAAGGAGAGACAGAATGAGCTTGTGCATTTAAAGTGCACTCAACCATCAGTTGCCAGATAATTCTCAGGTGAGGGAGGTGTCGCAGGTCCCTTGGCCTTGGGGAGCAGGGCAGCGAGTGCTCACACTCTGATCCCTGGGAGCACTGCCTCTATGCTTGGCATGGGGAAGGGCCCTTCCACCCCCACAGACATGTACTTGCTTCCAACAGGGTGGAGGCAAACAGGGAAGTTTGTGCGGAATTGAAGGGAGTCAGGCCCAGCTCTAATGCTAACCTGCTGTGATGTGGGTGAGAGCCAGCATGGAGGGTGACCATGGCAAGGTACCTCCGTGGTCACCTACAAGCCTGCAAAATGGGTAGTTCCTGCCATAACCCCACCCCCACCCTGAGGATGGCAATTCTGCCTCTTGAAAGCAGTGCCTTTATGACTCACAACTTCTGCTCTCCTCCTGCCGCCTCTTTGACCTCCAGGGAAGTGGGACATTTTGCTAGGTCTATGCCTCTAAAGAAACTCTCCTCCTCACACCCGCGAGCAGGATGCAGCCACTTCAGCAACACTAGTGCTAGAAGATTCGAGAAGCACAGCATTACCCATCTTACCGACTGTGGCCATGCTGCCAAGAGCTCTATGTACCTCTTCACAGCAACACCAAGAGATGGGCCTACAGATTCCAGGTGGGGAAACAGAGTCAGAGGGCTCAAGTGACTGGCCTGGGACTATGCAGCCACTGAGGCGAGAAGTGAGACTGAACACAAGTCCATTGAATCTTCACAGAGCCAGAGTGGGTGCCCGCCTGCCAGGCAGACACACGACCCCGTTCTCCCTCAATGTGTGGTAGATAAAGAGGCGGTAGAGATCTCTGAAGAGAATTAGGCCACTGTTTCAGTACAGCATTCAGCAAAGAGAGGGCCCTGCTATCTTAGCAGAAAGCCAACAATCCCAAATGCATGGAGAGCTGTAGCCTGGACCTGGGCTACCTCCTTACAGACACTGCCCCAACACTGTGAGAGATGTGGCTTCTCCACAGCAAATATTTCAACAGTCCACCTCTGTGGTCCAATTACTCACCCAGAGCCCAGGCAGATCCCACTCACACAGGGCCTGGCCTACCTCTGGCATGGCTGAGAAGACCTTAAATGCTCCCTTGGTCCATGACTGGACTAACCTGTGGCCTCCCAAGGAAGCTGGGAGGGCTGGCATTATATGCAAGATACCCACTGCACAGATGAGAAGACTAAGGGTCTGAGGGAGAAGCAACTTGCCCAGTCACGATGCAAGGCTATCAGGGCTTCCCAAGCCAGGGGACCAGGATGTAAGTGCATCTCACTGTGTGACTGGTTTCTCCAGCTGTCTGAGGCGTGGGGCAGGGGGCATGGAGGCTCCTTCTAGCTGAGATGTTCTAATAGTCAAGGCAGCTGGGATAAAGGAGCTTAGGAGGCCACGTGGCCAACACCTGCATCCTGCCCACAGCTTCCAAAGCAGCCTTCACAGTGACAAGCCAAAGACACACACACCAAGTTATTGTGAACAAACGTCTCAATGTAAACGCTGCTGAGCAAAATGACGTGATTTACAACCAAATAATTAGACTTTCAATAGACGCATCAGCAGCGATTAGCCTACCCGAGACGCCAGGGCATTTCTCAAGCTCTAAGTTGGTGGCCCAGGGTGAAGGCCTTCAGTAAATCATGACAAAAAGCCATCTCTAGGCAGGAGAGCTGGCAGATGCCTCTCCTGGCGAACATGTAGAGGCATAAGGCTCGTTTTAGCACACAAAGCAGTAGGTATGTCAAAATGAACCCATTTTGGGCAATTTTTCTCATGAGAAAACCAACACATTATTAGACAAGAAGTTTTTAAATGATGAGCGCTCAGACTGAGGGAGTAAGCCTCCCATTACCAGGGGTGTGTAAGTGGGAAGGCAATGACACTTGGTGGGTGGATCCCGCTGGATGCCTTTTGTAGTCCCCCCTCAGGGTTCCCACCAGCCTCAGCCAAGTGCACGTGGAAACTGCAAGGAGGGCTGGACGCAGAAGCGGAGGGGGATGGTGAAATGCTGCCAAAGCTTCAGGAAAGGGAAACAGGGTCTAGGGCTTCTTTCTTTCCTTCCTCTCTTTCTCTTTCTCTCTTTTTTTTTTTTCTACCTCTAATTGAGGACTTTTCTAGGAACATGAAGGCCTGTGTGTCGGAAATTATTTTTCTCCACTCTTCAGCCCTGGGCGCTTCCCCAAAGGGAGGAAGTTCAAAGTCTGATCCCACTGATATCATTGGCTGGGCAAGTCCCCTCCCCCTGGGCCTCAGCGTCTCCCTCTGGAAAAGCTGGAGGGGATCCCTTCAGTGCTGAGTTCTCAAGTCAGTGACGGACATGCCAGTGTGGGTGGGAGCACCACAGCAGGAGGAACAAGGCAGGGCAGAATGGCTCCCCTCATGGAGGGAGACAGGTGGGTACACTGGCCACAGTGGATCCTGGGCTTGGGGACAGCAAAATGACAAAAGCAGGCTTCTCATGCCTGTGCCAACAGGATGGACAGAATCCAGGCCAAGGGTGATCTCTTCCTACTGAGGACAAGGCTATCTGAGCCCTTAGGCTCCTTAAAGCAGTGGCTCCTACCTGGGGCAATTTTGCACTCCCTCTTCCCTGGGGAATACTCGCAATGTCTTGGTACATAGGTGCTACTGGCATCTAAGTAAGAGGAGGCCAGGGACGCTGCTAAATACCCTACGACGCACAGCACAGCCCCCACAACAAAGAATAATGTAGCCCAGCTTCCCACAGTGCCTAGGCTAAAGCCACACCACTCGCTAGACGGCCAGTGCCTCAAATTCTGCATCCACAACATGGGAATAACCAGAGTCCACCCTTGCTGCTGTGGTGAGGGGCAGATGAGAACCTCCACATGAAGTGTGAACGTCTGACGAATCCCGGCTCGCCTGGCCCCTTATGTAAAGGTGTAAGACACAGAGCGGAATCTGCCAAATGGCTTGGTTCCAGAGGGCTCCAGGCTGTTTCCAAGGACAGGACCCCCTAGTCCCACCTGAGCAGCACATGGTGGGAGATGTACCACATCTGAGGAGACTCCAGAGCAGGACCATGCAGAGGCTGGGCCAAGGCAGCCTCGGGGGAAGCCCCAGCTGCCGAGGGGAGGACTTGGAGCGCACAATGGCTTTTATAGCCCAAAGGGGGCCAGCGCCCTGGGGTTGACCCAGGCAGGGCTGGAGAGGGGGGTGGGCCTTGGGGTGCCTGAGGATGGTGCTGTACGCAGCCCAGGCTCAGGGCCACCCAGACCTGTATCTGAGTCCCTGCCCTGAACTGTGCCTGGTCTGAGCTTCAGGTCCTCATCTGGGAAGTAGAGCTTTCACTGTTCACCCACAAGGGTAGTCTGAGGTCTGGACAGCAGGGAAGCAAGGCTCGCCAGGTGCGGAGGTGCCGCCGAGTATGCAGGATGTCGTTGGAGCCTGGTCACCTGGGTACAAATCTGCACTCTTTGGCAGGCCCCTCGGATAAGCATGACGTGAAACAGGGGGCTGGCACTAGATTCCAGCTTAATGCATTTTTAAATTTTTAAATGAAGAACAGTGCCTTTCAGAAAATACTGACGCCAGTGCAGGACTCAGGGTCCTGGCGTGGGTCTTGTTCTCATCTGCTGGGCAGGAGCCACTGCACCAGTGGCCGCCTGTCTGGTGTGTCTGGTGCACCTGGCTGGCTCTGTGCTGTCTGGGCTGAGCACTGAGCTAGGTTTCCCATACGTCTGCTCTGTCATTCACGGCTGCATTGGCAGCCCAGAAGCCATGGATGTGGCTGCAGGAGCGTCTCCTCCAGTTGGGCAGCCTGCCTGGCTGGGGTGGGATACCTGGGTTCTGGCCCAGCTCTGTGGCCGGATGACACGGGGCAAGGCGTTTACTGCCCTGAGATCGATTTCCTGAAACATCAAGTGTTCTTTCACCACAGTCTCTAAGGCACACTGTTGCACACAGGATCCACATGAAAAGAGAAAAGGAAGCTGGGCGTGGTGACTCATGCACTCCCAGCACTTTGGAAGGCCAATGCGGGAGAATTTCTTGAGCCTAGGAGTTTGTGAGACCAGCCTGGGCAACATCGTGAGACCTCATCTCTGTAGAAAATTTAAAAATTAGCCGGGCATGGTGGCACACGCTTGTAGTCCCGGCTACTTGGGAGGCTGAGGTGGGAGGATTGCTTGAGCCTGGCAGGCTGAGGCTGTAGTGAGTTGTGTTCACACCAATGCAGTCCAGCCTGGGCGACAGAGTGAGACCCTGTCTCAAAAAACAAAACAGAAAACGAACTAAACAGGAAACTGGTCATAGATGGTCAATGGCATTTATTAAGTGTCTACTGTGTGCACTGCTCTAAATGCAACATTTCTGAGGGAGACAAGACACCAACCAGATACTCTGAGATCATTTGGTTCCCTGTCATCATTTTACAGATGACACTGAGGCTCAGAGAAGGGCAGAGGTTTGCTCTCTTTCCGCAATACAGCCCCTGCCCCATGCCTCTATTGCGGAGGATTCTCTGGCAAGACCAGCAGACTAGAGTCTGCAGTAATGGGGTGTGACAAGCTGGGGTGGGGGATGTGGCAGGGGGAGGGGACATGCAGGGAGGGGAGAGGGGAAGGAAGCAGCAATGCCCCCTGCTCCTCATTTCTCATCCCGAGTCACCCCATGGACCTTTGCTCTTGCTAAAGCACAGTGCTCACCCTCACCAGTCTCTTCCTGGCCCACCCTGGTGGGGGCCTCCTCACCAACTGACCAAGGGTGTTCACCAGCACAGCAATGAAGCGGACTCACTATCCACAAAGCACCTTATCTAACTTAGTTTTATTTAAGAAAAAAAGTAAAGATGAGAAACTCAACAATCCTTATCAAAACCCCAATGTCATTCTTCACAGCAAAAGAAGAAACAATCCTAAAATTCATGTGGAACCATAAAAGACCCTGAGTAACCATAAAAGACCCTGAGTAACCAAAACAATGCTGAAGAAGAAAAGAAAGTTGGGGGCATCACACTTCCTGATTTGAAATTATATTACAAAGCTATAGTAATCAAAACAGTATGATACTGGCATACAAACAGACACATAGACCAGTGAAACAGAATAGAGACCCCAGAAACAAATCCAAACACATATGGGTCAACTAATTTTTGATGAGGGTACCAAGAAGACACAATGGAGAAAAGATAATCCCTTCAATAAATGGTGCTAATAAACTAGATTTCCACATGCAAAAGAATGAAACTGGACCCATATCTTCTATTACACACAAAAAATCAACTCAAAATGGATAAAAGACCTAAATATAAAAATAGAAACTATAAAACTCTTACAGCCCAGGGGAAAAGCTCCTGGACACTGGCCTTGGCAATGATTTTTTTGGATATCATATCAAAAGCTCAAAATAAATAAATGGGACTACATCCAAGCTCCTGCACAGTAAAGGAGACAATAAGATGAAATGGCAGCCTACAGATTGGGAAAAAATATTTGCAAACCATGCATCTGATAAAGGGTTAACATCCAAAATTTATAAAGGACTCACATAACTCCATAGTGAAAAAACAAATAACCTGATTATAAAATGGGCAAAAGACCTGAATAGACATTTCTCCAAAGAAGACATAAAAAAATGGCTGACAGGTATATGAAAAGGTGTTCAACATCAGCAATCATCAGGGACATGCAAGTCAAAACCACTATGAGGTATCACTTCATACCCACTAGAATGGCTATTATCAAAAAGTCAAAAGATAACAAATGTTGGCGAGGATGCGGAAAAAAGGAAACTCTTATACACTGTTGGTGGGAATGTAGATTGGTACAGCCATTATGGAAAAGAGTAAAGAGCTTTGTAAGGAAATTAGAAGTAGAACTACAGTATGACCTAGCGATCCCTTTTCTGGGCATATACCCAAAGGAAGTAAAATCACCATCTTGTAAAGACATCTGCACTCCATGTTTACAGCAGCGCCATTCACAACAGTCAGCATATGAAAACAACTGAAGGTCTGTCAAGGATGAATGGATAAAGAAACTGTGGTGTATGTATGACAGAATACTATTCCGCCCTAAAAAAGATCTTGTCATTCACCACACAGGAATAGGCCTGAAGGACATTAGGGGCAGTGAAATAAGCCAGATACAGAAATAAAATATTGTATATGGCCTGGTGTGGTGGCTCACGTCTGTAGTCCCAGCACTTTGGGAGGCCAAGGTGGGTGAATCACCTGAGGTCAGGAGTTCGAGACCAGCCTGGTCAACACGATGAAACCCCGTCTCTACTAAAAATACAAAAATTAGCCAGGCATGGTGGCGGGTGCCTGTAATCCCAGATACTCGGGAGGCTGAGGCTAGAGAATCACTTGAACCCAGGAGGCAGTGAGCCAAGATCGCGCCACTGCACTCCAGCCTAGGTAACAAGAGCGAAACTCCATCTCAAAAAAAAAAAAAAAAAAAAAGAAAAGAAAAATATTGTATGATTGATCTCATTTACATGTGGAATCTAAAACAAATTCAAATATGTAGAGATGGAGAAAAAAACAGTGGGTCCTTGGGGCAGGGTGGGGAGGAGATGGGGAGATGTAGGTCAGAGGGTACAAAAGAGCAGACATGCAGGATGAACAAGTCTAGAGAGCTGATGCACAACACGAGGACCACAGGTAATAAACAAATTGTACTTCATATGGGATTCATACTAAATGAGTAGATGTTAGCTGCTCTAGCCACAAAAAAAAAAAAAAAAAAAGGTAACTATGTAAGGTGAGGGATATGTTAATTTGTTTCACTATAGGAACATTTTTTGTTTTGCTCTGTCGCCCAGGCTGGAGAGCAGTGGTAAAATCACAGCTCACTCTGTAACCCCAAATGCCTGGGCTCATGGAATCCTCCTGCCTCAGCCACCCAAGGAGCTAGGACAACAGGGGTGTGCCACCATGCCTGGCTAATTTTTAAAACTTTTTATAGTAATGAGGTCTCACGACGTTGCCCAGGCTAGTCTTGAACTCCCAGGCTCAAGCAATTCTCCTGCCTTGGCCTCCCAAAGCGCTGGGATTATAGGCATGAGGTACTGCATCTAGCTCTTAGTAACCTTCTTACTATCTGTATGTATTCTATAACATCATGGTGTATATCTTCATTATACACAATAAACTTTATTTGAAAAGAAGAAAAAAAATCCAGAGGGGCCTTTTAAAACTGCAAATTAAGACAGATCTGCCTGCTCAAAGGCCACTGCATCTAACCTGAGGGTGGTTTTTCCTCCCTGGAATTTCAAAGGCATCGGGTTGACTGGGAACCACCCAGAAACCCTGCCAAGGACCTTTTGCAAATTATATGAATGACCGTGGTTCCTGGTGGAAAAACTCCCAATAGTTCTTGGGAATCTAGGCCTCAGTTTCTTCATCTGTGAAATAGAGAATAGTTTACAATGTTCCCTGAAGTCCACTGAAAGCTAAGTAAAGAGCTCAGAACTGGGTGTTGGGGTCCTGGCTTCTGCCTTCTCAGGCCTTGGTTTCCCCATCTACATGATGAAGAGACAACCTTTGAAGCTTGGCACATAGGAGATGCTCATACCACATGGGAAGGAAGGATATTAAACAAAAGGACTCGCCTTCATTACAGACACCATGGAGCCCCAGGGCTGGAAGTGGAGTGGAGGTTTTTAAAAAATAGAGTTTATTCAAGTGTGTCCTAGAATGTCCACCAGTACCCAGAGACTTACTTGTTAAGCCTGTGGCCCCCTGGATCTCTTTGCAAGCAAAATCTGTTGTAAACTCGCCCTCTAAGAGATTCTGATGCATGTTCAAGTTTGAGAATCATCATTCTAGTTCCATCTAATGATGGAAACTCCTCTGTAATATCCGCAATATTTACTGTCCAGCTTTGCTACTTACCACCATCACCAGAGAGCTCATTCCCCACCAAGACAACCCATTCCAAACAGACAGCTTTGCCTGTGGTTAAGTTCTTCCATGTCCTGAGCTGAAATGTGGCTAACTACAGCTTGCTGAGATTAGCCCAGCTCCGAGCTCTAGCTCCTGCAGGCCAAGGCCACTGCTTCTGCCCTGTGAAGGTCCCTCAGAGACAGGAAGACCCGGGCTACTCTTTTCCAGCTGTGCCCCTGGGGCAGAATTTCCTGTCCTTTCCCATCCTGGTCGCTTCTGCTGCCCGTTCCCCAGGCAGTCACCATCTCTCACACAGCGGGAGTCAGCAACTAAACAGGGTCCCGTGGGGTCTGTCCAGCTTGGCCATCAGTCCTTCTGGCTGGACACAACTCCATCATTAACACAGACACTCCTGAGCTTCGGTTGAACTCCTTTTTGGGGTCTGCGGACCTCCTGAGTCCCCCCCTCTCCCAGCCCCTCCCAAGTCCCAAGAGACAGGGTCTTATTGACATGCAAGTGTCATCAGGTATAGTAACACTCATCTCTTGAGCACCCTAAAAGGTGCATGGGGCCGAGAGCTTTTCTGTGGTGGGAAAGGATGGGGGTCTTGCTTTGTTGTCCAGGCTGGAGTGCAGTGGCACATTCATAACTCACTGTAACCTCTAACTCCTGGGCTTAAGTGATCCTCCTGCCTCAGCCTCCTGAGTAGTTTAGGATTACAGGTGTGAGCCACCATGCCCAGCTAATTAATTTTTTTTTTTTGTAGAGACCTCGTCTCACTATGTTGCCCAGGCTGGTATTGAACTCCTAGGCTCAAGTGATCCTCCTGCCTTGGCCTCCCAAAGTGCTAGGATTACAGGCGTGAGCCACTGTGTACAGTTGGGTCCAAGAATTTTAAGAAGCAAAAGCCCACTGGCTTTGGCCACACTTGGAAGGTTTGGAAATGGAACATTCAAAGGTCACTGTCAGCTCTTTGTGGTCACGGTTCTGGGGGGCAAATCCTCTCATGTTGGACACTCATTCTGGCAGCTTTTTGACAACCTCTTTCCACAGGGTGGAGAATTTTCTCAAAATTAAATCTCTGGCTCTTTGCTCCCTAATGAAATTGATTTCTGCCTTGACAGACAACAAAGCTTTCATTTTATTATTTGGCTTGGGTTTGACCACATTAATTATTGCTGTTTTTTGTTCCCCCTGCACGTCTGCAAGTAATTGAGTTCCACAAAGTTACTTACTATAGGAACTGATTGCTTCCTGAAAACACAGATCCCACAGAAGTAAAACAGGCAACCCTAGCTTCTTCAGAGATGACATTTTGGTTAGGGTTGGAACAATTCAGAACAGGAAAATGTATTTTCCTAGCCTGAAAATCTGAACTCAACATGGAGTTATGCGAATATTTGGAGACTGTGAGTCTGAAATGTGGGTGTCCGGGTCACACCATCTCCTGCGTTTGTTGCCTCAGTCATCTTACCATCGATGTGTCAGAATCCTACACTGCCTCGAGTTTCTAATCACTGTTACTGGCATCATTCTTCCTGCCTCTGAGAACACTCTGCAGACGCCTGTTCAAGCTATACCAGGAGCTAAGAAAAGCCTGCCCGGCACCGTGCAAATGCATTTCTCCCTGCGAGGTTGTGTTCGGCCTCGGTGGGGCATACGCCTTTAGTGCCAGGAGGAAATGACGGGCACACGGCTTGCTCTCTGGCAGACTGGGAAGTGGTGGGGAGTTGTTGAAGGGATGGAGGGCTGGGATGTAGAGCACTGCTATGGCCACAGGTGAGCCCCTCATCTCTCTGAGCCCGTCTCCTTCAGCGTAAAGTGAGTTGCTGTGGGGAGTCAGAGAGAGCTGACTAGGGCTTCAGAGTGTACAAAATCGTGGTCCTGGACCACGATTGCATTTATGCCTCACAACGATCCTGAGATGTAGGAACTATTACTCTCCCCATTGTACAGATGCAGAAATGGAGGCCATACAGCTAGTAAGACGCAGAATCGAGATCTGAACCAGGGAGGGATTCTGGCTCCAGGTGGTCTACCTTCTTAGCCACGATACTCTATGCTTTTTCTCTACTGAGCCAATTAAAGTACCCCCAAATAACTGAGGCACAGAGAAGTTACAAAGAAAATCTCAAGACAGAGCCGGAACCAGAAATGCGTTTCCTAACTCCATAGCCAATGAGCTTCCTGCTCTGCCTCATTAAAGAAAAAAAAAATCTCTATTATAGGCCGGGCGACTTTAGGAGGCCAAGGCAGGCAGATCACCTGACGTCAGGAGTTCGAGACCAGCCTGACCAACATGGTGAAACCCCGTCTCTACTAAAAAAAAAAAAAAAAAATACAACAATTAGCCGGGCGTGGTGATGCACACCTGTAATCCCAGCTACTCTGGAGGCCGAGGCAGGAGAATTGCTTGAACTTGGGAGGCAGAGGTTGCAGTGAGCCGAGATAGCGCCATTGCACTCCAGCCTGGGCGACAGAGCGGGACTCTGTCTCAAAAAACAAAACAAAACCAAACAAAACACCATTATAAAAGAGATTCACTGTGGAAAATCCAGAAAACACAAATCTAAAATAAAAAGAAGATAAAAACCTGCCATTTCATCACCACAGACAGTGGTTAATCACAATTTGGCATAGTGCCTTCCTATATTTTTCCCACACACATGCGTACATGCATGTGATATACGGCTACCGACTGGGCTGACCTTTGCAATCTGATTTTATTACAATCATGGCTCATTTTGCATGTTGTGATTACTTTTCTCCCAAATATAATCTCCAAACGTTTCCTGAGTACCTATCATGTGCCAGGCCCTCTGGGGTGTTGAGACCAAAAGACACATTCCCAAAGAACGCTCAGCCAAGAAAGGTTCCTAGCAGATGACAAATCATTTCACACTACAACCCTGAGGGTCAAAATCAGATGTTAGATGGCAAATTTAGAAAGCAAGGTCCCAGGGTTTATGTACCTAGATTTTTTTCCTGGGGGGTTTCTAGTAAAAACTGGAAAATCTGCTAGACAAATTCTAGAAGAGCTGTAACATTTTATGCACCTCAAACTGGAAACAAAAACTGGGTGACATTTTACAAAACAGAGAGAGGCTCTGTCACTTCCAAGGGAAAACTGAACAGCCAGCTACCCTAGCCAAGTTGGGACCTTAGGGAGGAAGGACACTGCATACGGCCTTTCCTCTAATCTCCAACTTAAATGTCCTTGTTGCTTAAATGTCCTGTTGCTTCCCCATAACTTCCCCAGTTTTCTCCTCTCAAACATCTTAACATCTGAAGTCCTCCTCAACTGGCCCCTCCTCCAGGAAGACTTCCAAGATGCCCCTAGTCAGACTTACTTTCTTTCTCCCTCGCTTTGTCTTCTGCCACACCTCTGTACATCACAGTACTTCCCTACTGTCCTGTCTCCTTGTCTGGACTGTGAGCTCAGAGGCTGACATGTCTTTGTCTCCTCACCCAGCTGACAGCCCAGGGCACGATAAGAGCTCAGTGGTGAAAGCCATGCTGCTGACTTGTCTATAAGCTCCGCCCTGAAAGCCTGTGCTTAAAACGTGGCAGGGTGATCTCCAAGCTGCCTGAGGCCATAAGCAGAGTGTGGATTTTCCAAAAGAAATGGCAAAAATAAAATTAAAATTAAAAAATGGTTTTAATTAAAGCATTTGGAATAAGCTAGCTTTGCCAAACCCAATTGTTTCTGATATTCCTCTTGGGTGAAATAATCTTTAAAAAGATAAGAAAAAAAAAAAAAGCAAAGCATTATTAAAAGTGGCAAACACTCGTGCTGGAAGGAGGATGGAGGCTGCTCACAGGGGAGCTTCCTAGAGAAGAGCAGGTGAAAGACATAGACCCGCGGATGGAACAGCCTCTGCTCCAACAGAGGGCAAGGGCGCCTGCGTGCGAGTGTGCCGCATACACAACAAAACCTCATTTTATAGCCCTAGCATTTGAACTGCGGGAGCGAAGACAAGGGCTATAAAATTTGACATCTGATTTTATAAATCTGCCTCAAGGACTGACAATGTCTGTGGAGAAAATGAGAGAAGAATATACAGTGCTTACGGGGCTCCAAAGGGTGATAACCCTGGGGTGGGAGCTGGGACTTCTGGGGGCTCTACCAGCAGCCTTCCAGAGGACCTCAGGAAGGTCCTCTTGCCTTCCTGTGCCTCAGTTGACCCCACCAGGGTCTTGACCTGGATGATTCAACTCCCTTTGGGCTCTGACTCCCCAAAAGTCTGGGGAACAGTCAGGCCCTGCCTTAACACTGGGATTTTACCACGTGAAGTTAGCTGCTTCAAGCCCCACCGAATGCCTCTAGGTAAGGGCCAATCATGTTTCCTGTGGGGCCTTTGTATCGCTTACCCAGCTATCAGTAAAATAAGCCCCTACAGCACAAAGGCTCTGCAAACCACCCTACCTGCATCTGTGCAGCCTCTCAGAGTTTACAAGAGCTTCCACTGCCATTGCAAATCTGGGCCTCAGGGCTCAGAGGCTGAGACGGGAAGTGACTCACTGGTGACCTCCTGGCTGGTAGGAATGGTGGGATTCAGGCTGTAATCCCCGGGCTCCTGATCACAGCCTTCCTCTCCATGCAGCCACCCTTTCACTGATAGCAGATGTGACGTCTGCAGCTGTCCTCGTGGCCTTCCCTGCAGCACCCTCTATGCCTTCTCCCAAGTCGCCAACCAACTCATTCCCAGATGGCTTTTGCAAAAATATTGTTAAATAATTCAAATTAACAAGATGTTAGAAATGTGATTGGAAAGAAATGTTTTTCTCATTTGGAGAGACCACCCAATGCCTCAGAAGGCAACTGTCCCGGGGCACGAGAGGTTTCCTGGAGACAGACGGGCAGTTGGAATGCTTCCCTGGTGGCGGAGCCGCACAGGCAGATTTATGTGGGCTGATACGAGACAATTAAAAACCGGCTGGAAATGTAATCGCGGCTGCTCAGATGCTGGAGAAGACCAAGGAGCTCCGGTAAAACAAAGGGCACTGCTCCATCCCTGGCTCAGACGGGAGACGCAGCAGTCCAGGGAGGGAACCCCAGCCTGTTGACGGGCACGTCTGGCACTGCCGGGTTGGGGGGTGGTGCACTGGGCCGTGAACTGGCAGAGTGAGGCAGAATGAGAGCAGGCACCTCTTGCCTCTGCGTTTTAGGCAGCATTGGGAAGGGGGAAGCTGAGCTGCAGGGAGTCTGTTTTCCTGGTCTTTTCCAGGTCTACGTTGCAGCCGGGAGAGCCACTATCCACCCAGCTGCTCCGAAATCTGGATGTGGTCCTTGACTCCTCACTCCTCCTCCCTCTCATCAATTCTACCTCCACACACCTCTCCTTTCTACTCCCACTGCCCTAGTCCTTCTCTCCTGATCTATATCACACACCCAGGGCCAGATAGGGCTTCCTAAACTTCTCTCTCATCAGGTATGTAGGCCGCCTGCCACTGGCCCCTCTGAATTGGCCTTGGCCTCCTAGTTTGCTACCAGATAGTCTCAGCATCATCAGCCTAGCACCTGAGTGCAAATGGAGAACTTCTAAGCTTAGCTGGAGCAAATGGCTGAGAAGGGTCAGGAAAGAACAGTGGTCCAGGAGCTGGGCAGGCTCAGCCTCTGCCCCTCCCTGACAACACGGCCTTAAGACAGGTTAAGCCCCTTTGAGCCTCTGTTTCCTCTTCTGTAAAGTAGGAGCAATGAGTTGCGCTTTCTTCACAGCTCCTTGAGGGCTGGACCCAGAGAAGAAACTAGACTCTTCTATTTGGGTCATGGATGCTGACACTGTTGGCTCAGAACCAGCCCCTCTGGTTTCAGGTCTCTGGGCTTTCTCCATGTCACCACTGCCTGGGGAAAGGGGTCTGAGAAATGCTGGGCACAGGGCTCATGGTCACAGGTCCTGTCAGAAAATCCAGCTTTGGTCCAGAGAACTAGTTGGCCATTGGCTGGGCTTCTCAGGGCCTGCTAGGGAGGAATGGGGGTGTTTCTATTCCGAGAGACCCCACAAGGTAGAAAGAGGCCTCGAGCTGTGTTGCAATCTCATCTCTTTACTCATTAACTGTGACGTAATGTGAACACCAGTTTCTTTATCTGTAAAAATGATGGCAATGGTTGCTACTCTTCTTGAACATACTATCACAGTGTGAAAGCTGGCTATTCCCAAATATCAGGCCCTGTGCTGGGCATGCTGACCCGTATCACCTCACTCACATGTTACAGCAGCCCAGAGCAGGTGGCGGGGCAGGATTTACACTTGCTGTGCTAGAGAGTAAACAGAGGGCTCAGAGAATATGCAGAACTCAAACTAGGGTCTGTCTGAACCCTTCAGAAAGGAAGGGTGCAAATCATGGTGACTAGTTTGGGATCCCGTAACTTGTCAGAGGCAGAGCTAGGATTTGAACCCAGGTCTCCTGGGCATAGGCCCAGGGCTGTTCCTACACTCTCCACCCCCACTGCACCAGAATCACCAAAGCACCAGGCTCAGAGTCCAGAAGAGGTGCCAGTCTAATGTTGAGGGTGGCGTCCTTGGCAATGTTTTACCACCAGCAGGGCACATTTTCTCAGTAATTCTGAATAAAGGGAAATGTCATCTAATATTCCTCACAGTGTCCCCTCAATGGTGCACTCTCTTATCCTGCAAGGCATCTGCACATTCTAAAGTTCACTGTTCTCATTTAGTCCTCTGCAAAGAGTGTTTGAGGAGTCTCTGTTTTGCCTACAGCAGTGGCTTCTAATTGTGGCATTTCTTTTAAACCTTTTAGAAGGAGAAAACACGAAGCACGCTAATTGAGCAGAAAGTTCATTTTTCCTCCATGAGCCCTGAAAGGACATGAAATCCTCCATGCGATAAGAGCAAAGAGACAGACCCCCTCTTCCCCCACCACCCCTGCTGCCCTGACTCAGGCTGGCTCAAATGCTGCTAGCAAACAGCTTGCCTGCTGGGAAAGCCAGAGGCAGGCAAGCTTCTTCCTCTTTCTGGGCCTCAGTATCTCCACTTGTTCAAGATATTGGACCAGAAAATTGAAAAAGTCTCTTTCTGTTCCCTAAACCCCAAGATTTCTGCTTAGGGTATTCCTGGAGCTGCTACCTTGACTGGCTGCCAACATGCTTCCCTATGAGATGAGGAGGCCAGACCACAAGTTCGGAAGATGGGCAGGAGAGCTGGAGGGGCAGCAGCATGGTGATGAAAAAGGATACCTGTTGAGTGGTCATCATCTCCAGCTCCTGATGAGCAACTAGGAGGTCAGAGAAGTTCACTCATTCATCCAAGGTCACACCAAAGCACAACGTACAGAGTGCAAGAGAGGTGAGAGGTTCAAGACAGGTTATCCAGGAAGAGGGGAGCCTGGATTGGACTCCAGTTCTGTGAGATTCTCTAGCATTCTTTCCAGCTGTAGCCAATAAAATCTAGAACCCATCATCGTAAAGGACAGTGGATGTGGGCACAGATGGAGACTTCCAGGTTGAACCCAGACAATTTGCAATGCACTGGGACACACCGAGCTCTTTCCCCAACAACCCGTGGCTCTCTGAGGTCCATAATAAAGACATTTGAGCTACCACTGATAGAGCACTCACTATATGCTGGAGCATATGCTAAGCACTTCACATATATTGTGTCTTCATTAATACACCTGTGAAACCCATTTTATAGATGAGAAAACCAAGGCTCAGAGATGTTCAGTCCCTTTGCCCAACACTACCCTGTTAGTATGTGGCGGAGCTGGGTTTCAAGAGCCTAAGCCAAGACCCAGAGCCATTGTCTTCACCGCTGTGCAGAGCTCCCTCTGTTGGGGGAGTCATGGGGCACATGGCCAGGAGCTCAGGGCCCCTGCAACCACTGCTGAGCAGTGTGGGGGTCCTGAGGCAAGCAGTACTGTACCTGAGCTGCACACACCTGCCTTCCCTGAAGTTTGCTCTTAAAAGGCTTCATCATCCCTGCAGGGGCCTGGCTGGGGAATACAGTGACCTACTAAGTCCACTGTCAGGTATTCAGGTATGCTGGGGCTGTGTGGGGAACTCAACAATGGCCAGGGAGGTCCCACTGTGGCCTTGCAGGGACCACCCTGGTGGCTCACACATGGGAGCAAGCAACCACCACGGAGCTAGGTGTCTGGAGTCTCAGATGTTAACCCAACAAGGGGATGCTTGGACGGCAGAAGGAAGTGGAGACTTGCTCCCTGCTGATAGATGAGGGGAGAGCAGCCTTTCCTCATATCCCCACTCCCACTGGCCCCTAAACCTTTATTATTTCTTTCTCCTAGCTGTCAGCAGCAACAAACTAAGATTAATCACTTGCCTGCCTGGACCCAGACATGCCTACTGTTTGAAAACTCTCTCCTTTGCTATATTAATCAATGAAGGGACAGACAAAAGAAAAACAACCCTAACTGCCACGCACCCCCAGTGCCCCTCAGCTCTTCTTGGCCCTGTTACACCCACCCAACCTCCTTCGGAGCTACAGGAGGTATTTGCCGGCTAAAGACTGAGTACCCAGCAGTCAACACAAACCCGGCTGCTCTAAGCCGGATACAAATAGACGTCATCAAGCAATCTGAAGGACAGGAGGCAAGTTCTTGATAATGTCGTGCTCCTCCTTCCCTCCTTGGAGGAGATGGGACCTTCCTGCCATCCTTGGACTGAGAGGAAAGTGGTCTAGTCATAGAACCCTTAAACTGGAAGCAAGTTTACTAATCAGACCCCAGACCCTCATTTTATCGATGCAAGTGGAGAAGATACCTGCCAGATACCTGCCCAAGTCACCTAGTGCAGCAGGGACAGCCTGGACTCACCCAGGGCTCTGTCTACTCTGCTGCTTCCGTGGTGATTTCTGAAGGCTCTGGAAAAGCTGGGAGAAGCAGAGACTGGTATATACTGAGCACCATCTATGTGTAGGGCTTATCTGCCAAGCCTTACTTCTTGCTGAGGCAAGCATCCCGTGATGCTCAGGAAGGTGCAGTACCTTGCCCAGCATCAGGTGCGGGGAAAGAGATGGAAGCAGGACTTGGATTCAGATATCTGACTGCAGAGCCTGTGTTGTCCCTCTCCATCTTGAAAAGGGCTGCCTCGGTCTCCTGGGATGCCTGCCCACGTGCTGTTCGCCTTCTGGACTCCTACATCAGGCCCCTCCCCAGCTCTCGGTCTGTGCCAGTTCACGTGGCATGTGTAGGGACATGGAGGGGAAGGGGGGGATCACTGGGGGGACAGGGAGGCAGAAGCTGGCATCCCTCCTCGCCAGTACTCATGGGCCCCCTAGTTCACTCATGGTTCTAGAATACAGCCCTGACAATAGCACTGCATCCTGTTTCAAACCTTGAGAACTCCCTGCTGCCTCACAGGTAAAGCCCCGACCCCTCCACCTGGTGATCAGGGCTACATCTCTCTTGGGCTCAGATGAATGTGTCATTTGTTGTTCTTAGGCAAGCTCCGCCCTGCCCTGTCTCTGGGCCCATTCTCTCTGCAGCCTGCCTTTTCTCCCCTGTGCATGGGTTTAAGACCTGCTCATCCTTCACATTCCCCTTCCTGATTCCTTCCCTCTTTCATAGCCTGGAAACTTTCATAGAAAGAGTACTTTCTACTTCGGGCAGCCCTGAACACATTCTCCGTGAGTTATAGGTGTAAGTGTCTTCCTTTCCTTGTGAGGCTGTGAGCTCCTGCAGGGCTACAGCTCATTCAGTAACTGACACTGGACGGGGCAGAGCTCATTGGCTGGGCTGGAGAGGCTGTGAACAACCAAGTGCCACAGCATGATGGAAACAGGCCAGACCCCAGAGGTGTCTCCTTAGGTCACGTTTGCAAGATGCCAGGCAATTTGCCTTCGGGGATTAGAAAGCCAAAGGTCCCTCCGTAAGGACTGTATGCAGCCATTAGCCCCACTGGCTTTGGGACTCTCACCACCTCAACCAAGCAGGGGCTGGGTCCTTGTCAAAGCTGCTGACTGCAGAGGCCTCAGAGGTGCCACTCGGTGCCCCTTCCCATGGGTCACACAGGATCCCTGCTCCATGAGGGCAGAGCCTGCCCAGCAGAACTGGAGGCCACAGCACTCACCCCGCCTCCCTGCTGTCTGCCCCCAGCTAGAAGTCCCCCAGTCTTTGAAGTCCTTCCCTCATCTTGTCCACATTCCTTTGCAAAAACTCACCAAACCAGAACTTGCCAAGACTCATTCGCAGGCCAAAGTGCCTGAAGAGCCTTTTAATGAGATTTTTTTCAAGGCTTTTCATCCCTTTCCTCCACTGCCAGCCTTTCCAGAGACAGGAAACTGTGTTAAGAGTTTGACATTTTCTTGCCAATTTCTCAGCTCAACCCTTTGCTCCCTGAGGCTGGAGTGAGAGTATCCAGGGGCCAGTGGTGGGTGCCAGGTCAATGAGTTGGCGGGCAGCCAAGGGAGAGAGTTCTGCAGGCAGGAGGGGATGAGGAAAGTGTTCAAGGGCAATCAGGCAGAATCGCCGAAGACGATTCACAGGTAGGGGCCCCTGCCATGGAGGGGGCTCTGAGATGTCATGAGGTGTGCAGGCGCCACTGTGGGTCACTGCAAGTGCAGAAAGTTGGGGGGTGGGATGCCGACAGGTGGCAGCTTGGGCTGATCCAGGGACCTGTCTGGTCACCACAGTGGGAAGCTGTCACCATCTCTGTGGTCAGTGGTCAGCTGCCAGCCGGGCAGCCTTACACCAACCCTAAATCCCTTCTGGGTGTCAGTTTCCCCACCCCCATGAGGCAAAGGGACTAGAGTAAATGGGTCTCAAACACTTCTAGGTCTGACGTCAGAAGACCTTTCGACTGAGTGTAAGGAATGCCGGGGAGGAGATGGGAGGACATGGCTGGGAGTCCCATGGCCTCCACTCCAGTCTTGGCTCTGCTGTGGACCCTGGCAGGCATTCGGCTTCCCCCAGCCTAAGATGAGGAAGAAAATGCCTCGCAGGACCTTGGTGAGTGCAACCTGCACGTCAGTGGCCCCATCACTGAGAACTGCATCTCAACTCTTCTGGGAGCCCCCGAGACCCGCCAAGGCTCTCCTGCACCTCCATGGCTCTGCCTGGGCTGTCCCCTCTACCTGAGCTGCCCTGCTAGCCGTCCCTGTCTGGGGAACACCTGCCTTCTCTTGAAGGTTCAGGTGCAGCCTTCTCCCTGCAGCTTCTCCTGACTCTCTGTGGCAGGGACTGCCCACCCACATGCCAGCTCTGGGCTCCCAAGACCCCCCTGTGCAGACCTGTGTACAACAAGACACAGGCTGGCCTGGCCAGGCTGAGCCCCTGGAGGCTGGGCCTGACTGTTCTCACCTCTGGACTCTCTCTGATGCCCAGCCCAGTGGCTGGTACGGAGGGCTCTGAAAAATATCTGCTGAGGGAAGGGTGCACGGGGTGTCCTCTGAGGCTGAACTCCCCCAGATCCTTTCTTCATCCTAGAACACCCTCAGGGCAGGACAAACTCACATGAAAATGGCCAGAGGCGGATAACCAGCATAGCTGGAATTCCAGTGTCAATTTGCACCAAGCTCCTGACAGTGTCAAGAATGCCATTCCCCACCCACCCCTGCCAGGCAAGCCTTGAGTATTTGAGAGATCAGGCCCCTCACTTGGTGGCTGGCAAAGATGGTGCTTGCTCCAGGCAGCCAGGATATGCAGTACCAGGACGGTTCCCCTTGCGGTTGAGGTGATTCATTCCAGGGCATTGCTCCCCAACCAGCAGCTGGACTGGCCATCGGGAGCTGGGGCTCCTCTGGGAAGCAAGTTCATCTCCCCTGAGTGGGTTGCCTGGCTCAGCCATAGGATGCCCAGCCCAGCCCACCTCCCCAATTCTGGCATTCTTCAGGGGAAAGCTGGGCAGGTGAGAACAACCCCGGCCTTTGGAGGTGGTGATCTAATGCCTCTAGATCTGCATGCAAAACTAGACCTCACCTCCAGCTCCTTTGGGCTCAGATGGGTCACCCAAATGACAGTTCCTGATAATGAGGTCCATGGGATGGGTGCGGGAAGGCAAACACAGAGTTGATGGTAGAGGCTGCTGGGCTGCCTTCCCAGTCTCCCTCGACGTCCTCCCCTCACCTGGGAGGTGCAGGTGGTCCAGCCCACAGATGGGGACATGGGGAGAGTTAGAGAACCCCTGATGTCATTGGTGGAGGTGGCCTTAGAGCCCATCAAAGCCCAACTCCCCACTGGACAGATGTAGGGGAAGAAACTTGGTCACACAGGGAGCAGCGAGTGGCAGGACAGGACTCCTATCCAGAATTCTGGACAATGGGTCCTTCCTGTGGCTCTTAAAAATGGACTTCAATCAAACTGCAGGGCTGACCCCAGGAAACAGGGGCAGGGTTATGGGAATCACACTAGATAACACTGACACAGCACTGTCTGGGCTGGGAACACTGTCTGTCAGCAGCTCATTGCCATACGCAGTGCACAGATGAGGACACTGAGGCCCCTATGGCGTGACTGGCCAAGGCCACAAGGCCAGTGAGTGCAGGAGGCCAGGCACGAGGCCCGTCCTCTACCTTCCCCACCAAACACAGCTGGGCCCTTGGGACTGCATGCCTACGCTGTGAGGGCAGAATCAACGTGTCGTCAAGGGTGGTCCTACCCTCTAGGGAATGGCACACCCCAGTGAGGAGGGGAAATGACGCTTCTGGCCCTCTGAGCCCCACTGTGAGCTGACATCTGGGCCTGCTTTTATAACTGAGGGTACAATGCACAGGGGACTGAGAAATGTATTCTGCAGGAGACAGCTGGCACTATTACTTCTGCCACTGGGTCTAGGTTCCTTGTGTGCTCCCTGGTTGGGACCTCAGCCCTGGCACATCCTGGATACTCAATAGGCTGCTGTTCCCTCGAAGGCAGGTCTGCACTGGAGTCACCACAGGGCCCCAGTGCCAGCCCGGCAGGACCTTAGTTCAAGGGCTCAGTACTTCCCCACCTCTGCCTAGAAGAACAGGAAGCTGGAGCAGCTGATGGGGCTCTGGTCCTCTAGGATGAACGGCCCGGTTTGGCATGGAGTGCTCTGTCCTGTCCTCCCTGATCCTTTCGTGGAGGCCCCTCCAGGCCAGGCCCCCAGCCACGGGGATTCCAGGAGGAATGAGGTTCACTGAGGAACTCAGAGACAGATGGGGAGGGAGACAGAGTGATAACCCCCAATGACCAGCACCCCAGAGGGTCCCTGGAGCACTGAGGAAGCCCAGTATGCAGGGAAGGCTGGTGACACTTGAGTCCTGTCGCTGATGCCACCTGCTTCCTTTACCTCTCACAGCCCAGAAGAGCACCATTCACCTTGATGGCCCCATCAGCATGCCTGGTGGTGTGCACGCCCCCCTGCTGCTGTCCTCTCCTCAGTCCAATTCCGCTCCTCTGGCTTTGGCCACCTTCTGCCCGGCCCCAGTTGCAGTTTAGCATATTGAACTTTCCTCGGCTGCCATAACTGACCCGATTCTTTCAGCCATCAGGTCTGATGGCAGACAACGAATTATGCAGGCACCAGCAGCCTAGAGAAGAGCAAGGTACCTATTTCTTGTTTGTCTTGAGTGCCCTACCCGCTAGGCTAGAAGTTCCCTCTGCATCCTCTCTGGTTTAGGCAGTGGTCCAGCCTTTGGTCTTATTCCCCTAGTGATGACAGGCTCACTACCTTGAGGCAGCTTGGGTAGCTCTAATTCTTGATCTGCTCTGGCTATTAGGAAACTTTTCCTCTTGCAGAGCTGGAATCTGTCTATGCATTGTCTGCCCACAAGTCCCCTGTCTGTACATCAGCTCCCTCTGCCCTGACAGTCCTTGAGAGATGCATGGTCCCCACCCCGTGTCCACATGCTCTCTCTTCTCTAGGTGGACTCCCACAGCCTGTGTGCCTTGCCCTACCTGCCTCTGCCCATGCCTGCCGCCCTCCTGACTCTGCAGTTTGTCACTGTCTCTCTCAGGGCAAAGCCCAGAAGTTGTGGGGGGAGGGGTCAGTCGTGAGCAGAGAACACAGGCCAGTTTCACCTTCCTTGGTTTTACTGAAGCCTCTGTCTACAGGGCCGGCATGTGTGTGAGCTCTCCTGACAACCGTGTCCCTGCAGGCCGGCTCTCCCTCCCATGGCCTCTAACAGCGGTAAGTGGGACAGAGAGGATGCCAGGCAGAGGGATTCACTGCTTCTGGGGGATCTGTGCTGGCTGAAGAGCCTGGGTTTACACCCCAGTTATGTCACCAGCTCTCTATATGTCCTTGGCAAATCCCTTCTTTTTCTGGACCTCAGTTTTTCTGTAAAATGGGTTTAGGCATTCTTTTGGGTCCCGTCCAGCAATAGCACCCAACTAAAACATGCTTTTCTTATTTCTGGGCCTGCCCATCCTGACAGAAATGCCTCACAGGTCAGAAAGACCTGAAAGTTTCCAAAGCTGCGATAGGCAGTAACACCACCTCTTCCCAGTGCTCCTCCTAGACTTTGTGCAACACCCAAACTCAGGCCCACACAAACCGCAAGCCAGAGCTAGGTCATGCTCACAGTGGCAGAGAGTCATGGGCTGGTCACAAGTCCTGGCCCAGCCACTTGGGCCAGCCACACCCACCTCCGTGAACCTGTTTACTCATCTGCAAATTGGCGACGATATGTTCCTCAAAAAAATCAAAGGACCATCGTCGTGGGCTTTGAGAGCAGGATGAGGCATGCTAGGAACTTCGTACCACCCCGGCTCACAGCAGATGTGAAAGCTTTCTTGGATAGTTAATACAAAATCCTAGAAAAAGGCCCCTCATCTTCTGGAAGGGCAGCAACAGTGAACATAAAAACTCCTCTGTATCCCAGGAGAATAGGATCAAATTGAAAAACCCAGGCCTAAAATAACGTGTGCTGGCAAGTTTCCCAGGGGACACTGGCGGGTTTTTCTGCCACAGACACGGTGGCCGGCTGCGCTCGCAGAGGCTGCCGAGGAGGGCTGGGGGTGCTCGGGGCGGCACTCACCTCAGGGAGAGGGAGTAGTCATGCTTGCTGGTCTGGCTGTTCCGGACAAGGTAGCTACACTCCTTGCAGAGTCGCAGCAGGTTCTCGGCGTCTCCTCTGCTGATGGCTCCGTGATACCATCTGTGGAGAGGGCAGAGAGTGGTCAGAGCCCAGCGCGATGGGATTCCCATGGCCCTGACCTGCCTTGGGAGACTCAGCACCCGCAGAGAGCCTCCCTGTACAAGCAGGCATGCACTGGTTCATTCCATGGGTACCCACTGCCCGCCTGCTGCTGCCGGGTCCTGGGGAGAGCACAGTGAACAAAACCCAGTCTCTTTTCACGGGAAGCTTATGCTCTGGTGCAGGGAGTCAGGCCACAGACACTCAAGTCATCACAGAGCACAGTGTGAGGACAGGCATCATGGAGATGAAGTGGCATAGGCTCATGGAGCTGGGGGCTGGTGAGGGACTATTTCAGGCAGGGTGGCCAGGGAAGCCTTCTCAAGGTGAGGTGGCTCACGCCTGTAATCCCAGCGCTTTGGGAGGCCAAGGCAGTTGGATCACCTGAGGTCAGTTCAAAACCAGCCTGGCCAACATGGCGAAACCCCATCTCTACTAAAAATACAAAAATTAGCCGGGCGTGGTGGTGGGCGCCTGTAATCCCAGCTACTCAGGAGGCTGAGACTGGAGAATCACTTGAACCTGGGAGGCGGAGGTTGCAGTGAGTTAAGATCATGCCACTGCACTCCAGCCTGGAAGACACAGCAAGACTCCATCTCAAAAAAAAAAAAAAAAAAGAAAAAGAAAAAAGAAAATGGAAAAAAAAGAAGAAAGAAAAAAAAAGTGACATTTCAGTGCAGACCTGCAGGAGGCAAGGAGGGAAGCCAGAGAGGAGCTTTCTTGGTAGACAAATCAGCAGCGAAGGCCAAGGCAGAAGGCTGCCTAGCGTATTCTGGAAACAGCTAGGGGCCAGCATGGACAGAAGCAGCAAGGGGAAGGGGTGTGCAAGACGTCCCGAAATGGGGCTGCAGCAGGGGCTTTTCTCTGTTTGAGCAACATGGAAACCATCAGAGGGTGCTGATGGGAGGGCCACGCTCTGACTCAGGGATGTGTGCAGACATGGATGGTGGGCAGGGAGGTAGCTGTCCATGCTCCTGCCAGACGGCTCTAGCACCACTTGGGCATGTGGGAATCCCAGCATTACTGCTCCCAGATGCCATGCATGCCAGAGGAGGGCAGGCGGCAGAATCTGAGGGGAGGAGTGCCGTGCAGAGGGCCCGACTCATCCCTCATCTCCCATCAGAGGAGGAAATGGGAGCAATGCTTTTCTTTCTTTTTTTTGAGACAGGGTCTCACCCCGTCACCCAGGCTGGAGTGCCGTGGCGCGATAATAGCTCACTGCTGCCTCAAACTCCAGGGCTCAAGCAATCCCCCCAACCCCCAGCCTCCAGAGTAGCTGGGACTACAGGTGCGTGCCACCATACCTGGCTATTTTAAAATCTTTTCTAGAGACAGGGTCTTAATATGTTGCCCAGGCTAATCTCGAATTCCTGAGCTCAAGTGATCCTCCCACCCCACCTCCCAAAGTGTCAGGATTACAGGCGTGAGCCATTGCATCCAGCCTGATTTTCCTTGTGTGTGTGTGTTTCCTTTTTTTTTTTTGGTTTTTAGAGACAGGTTTTCACTTTATTGCCCTGACTGAAGTGTAGTGGTGTGATCACGGCTCACTGCAGCCTTAAATTCCTGGGCTCAAGGGATCCTCCTGCCTCGGCCTCCCAAGTAGTGGGCCTATAGGCACGCACCGCCATGTCTGGCTCACTGATTTTCATGACTGGAAGAGCTGACGGTAAAACTGCAGGGAAAGAATAAAGATCCTCACTGCCCATGAGTGGACACACTCAAAATACATTCCTGTTTACATGATGGTCTCTGCGCGGTAGTGGAGGGGGTGAGACTCAGCCAGGAGAGGCAGAGGCACGGGGCGGTACTGTGGTTGGAGTGTGCTTTGTCCACAGAGACATGGATGCTGCTCCGAATGGTGGCTCTGCTGCCTGCTGGCCAGGCAAGCCACTGACCAGGCGGCTTCTATTAAGCGAGGATCATGCCAACCTCTCTTGGGTTGTGGGAATGTAACAAGTGGCCCCGCAGGAAGGGCCAATGTAGAGCCTGATGTGGGGCGAGTCTTAACCGACGGCAGCTGCAGCGTTAGCAGAAAGAGATTGCCCTCGCAGACTGTGTGGTGACATCCCCACCTACAATGGTTGCAGGCCGCTGCCCATCCAGAGGCTGCATTTTACATTACATTTCCAGGTGCAAGTGGGGATGCTGCCTCCTGGTGCCTGTCTCAGAGTGTCCTGCAAACCGTGCCTCTGAGAGTTCCGGCACTGACATTCTCCTCAGAGAAAAACCCAAACCACCCGTCCCCATGCAATTCCTGCCACTCATGAGGCAGAGCTCAACAGTTAGTAGCAGTGGCCACAGCAAAATTAAAACCCTAAGAAAAAAAATCAACTTTAAAGTCAAGGACTGGAGAGTAAATGTGAGTGTCCTTGTCCAGTGGGAATGTGGCCAAGTGGTGGACAGTCCAGGCAGTGGCCACCAAGCTGGACATCCGGAGGGGAGACTTTCCAGGGGAGAAGGCAGGAAGAGCATGCAGACCACAGACCCCTTTCTTTCTAAAGGTACAGAGAAATATGTAAAGAGGAATGTGAAGTTGGGGTATGCATGGGTTGCCACAATTAAAACACCACAAGTAAAACATTTCCTGAGACATGAAGGTCCATGTTATGCTTTAGAAAGGCTACATGGCTGTAATCAGGAGAAACAAAGACAGCATTGACTTCGGAAGTAAGAGTTAACAGGTTTGGGAAGGCTGTCCTCTGGGAGATTTCACTGTGTAACACACCCTCAGTGAGCTGACAAAAACATTTTACTAGGAAAACAAGTCCCAGCCATTTGAAGCTGAGCCGTCCTCAGGGAAAGGCCTAGAAGTGGTCTCTGGGGAAGTGCTGCCTGCCATCCACCCTCCCTGAGCTCAGGAGCAAGCTCTGCTCTGAGATGGGGGCATGGCCTCTGGATTCTTGTTAAGGGGAATCCCAGGTGGTTAACAGGATAAGCTACCAGTCCCTTCCCCAACTGCTCCACACAGAGTCAAGGGCAGGGGACAAGGGGCTGAGGAACAAAGGAGAGAAGGAGCAGAGGGTGCTGGATCTGGGGGCCGGGCCGGCACTGGCCAGCCTGTCAGCAGGAGGCTGGAGACTAGGAGTCAGGCTGGGCTGGGCGGTCCTGTGGGGGGCTACAGCCAACTGTTGGGCCCACGTAGGCCTTGCTTCACCTGGAAAGAGAATCCAGGCAGGAGGTCATCTCAGGGATGGGCTGGACCTCGTGGGGTTGGCCAGTCAGGTCAGAACCAGGGGGATTAGGGAGACTCAACTATCGTCCTTCACCCCAGCCAATACCCATGAGCTCATCCAGTATTTACTCACCACTCACTATATCCTTGATCTCACGGGGCTGATGAAGGGAGAGGAAGAGTCAACAGAGAGATACAGGAAACAATTCCAGATAGTGACAAGGGTTATGCAGGCATCCTGGGGTTATGATAAGGCAGTGACTGGGGCTGTATGAGATGCCCGCTTAGAAATGAATGGGCAGGGGAGGCCCCTGAGGAGATGACATGTGGCCTGAGAACATGAGAAGGAGCCAATCGTGAAGAGCCAAAGAAAACATCTCTGCAAAACAGGCAGCAAGTGCAAAGGTCCTGAGGTAGGAATGCGCTTGCAGTGCTCACAGAGCAGAAAGGCGGCAAGAATGACCCAGGCACTGTGAGCAGCGGGCAGGAGGTAGGCCCAGTTCTTGTGCCCAGGAGGAGAAGTTTGATTTCATCCACAGCAATAAGAGTTTTAAGAGATGTTACTTGCCCTGGGAAATCTTACAGACAGTCAGTCAGGTTGGCGTGAGGAGGGGCCAGAGGAGACAAGTCAGGATGCTAGTGAAGTAGTTCACACGGCAGGTGGCCGCAGAGATGGAGGAATAATGGATTCTGGTGGTACTTAGGAGGGAGCACTGGCAGAATTTGGTAAAGCAACAGATGCTGGTGTCCGGCAAAAAAAGGAATCAAGATGATGACGGGTTTGTGGCTTGAACCATAACTAGTTAGATGTGACACCGTTTATGGAGGTGCGGAAGCTGGGGGAGGGGCAAGTTTCGAGGAGAAGATCAGGAGCCCAGTTTTGAACACATTAAGTTTGAGATGCCCACTTGTCAGCCAAATGGAGATGCCAGGAAGCAACTGGACGTAGGAGTCAGGAGCTCTGGGAGAGGTGTGGGCTGATGCTACATGTCTGTGAGTCACCACTAGGATCCTGGGAGAGACAACCCAGGGAGAGCACGTAGTTGGAGACTGAGCCCTGGAAAGTCAGACCTTCAGGTCAAGCAGAGGCAAGGAGCCAGCAGAGGAGATGGAAGAGTGGCCAGGGAGGCAGGAGGAGCACCAGGCCCAGAGGCCCAGAAGGAGAGTGGTCAACTGTGGTGACTGCCACGGAGGACAGAGGGGGTCGTCTGGGGACCGGGGCAGAAAAAGGAGGCTGGCTGTGGTGGGTGAGAGAGAAGGGGAGGTGACAGAGAGGGGAGAAGTGCTGGCAGCTCTTTGGAGACTGTTCATTCACGCAACAGCTATTTATTCAGCACCTGTTACCTGCTGGGCACTGTTCTAGGCACAGGGGATGCAGTGGTGACCTAGACAAGTTCCTGCCCTCATGGAGTTTCTGTTCTCAGCAGGGGCAGTTGAGAGGAATGTTGAGTCAAGGTTTTTTTTTTTTACTTATGTTGGCAAAGTTTGTTACTGGGACACGTTCATATACTGATGGTAATGATGGAGGAAGGAAGAGGGGTGCAGGTGGGGCTGCCTCCAGGAGGCAGTGGGGACAGACCCTGAGCACTGGAGCACCTTTCTGCTGTCCCAGGAGGGAAGGCAGGTGGTAGGAGCACCTAGGCAGATGTGTGCCTGCCCATCCATGGCCACCCCGTGTGACCTGGGGCACACCCCAGTGCCTCGGTCTCCCCTCCTACCTCCCTCTGTGCTAGGGTGGAGGAGAGGTTCAGACTGGAAGGCGCCTCCTGAACTCTAGAACAGCATCAGTTCAGGTGGGGGACTAGGTGATCCTCTTTACTGGGGTCATCAGGCTCTAACCGAAATGGGATTTTACCTTAAGCAAACCCCTCGGGTGATGAGTCAGGACTTCTGACTCATCTTGGGGAGTTAATCGTGGGGAGATGAGACGATGGGGGAGGAAAAGCCAGTCATGCCTCTGGACTTGGCTGGGGGCCCCATCAAGTGGGAATGGGAAAGGAAAGAGAGCCCAACCCTCCCACCTTGAGATGAAGGCTGAGTCTGGGGGTGGGAGTGGGCAGGCTGGGCCCAGACTGACCCAGGCAGACCTGGCCACTGCTGGTCAGGACGCACGCCGAACATCTGTGAGTCACAGTTTGTTGATTAAAAGTGCACAGTTTGATCAGAAATAAGCAAAACCTGTCAGACGATCTGCATGGCTGTGAGAAATGATTCACAGCACCGGCTGGGAGCACTCACAAAGGTGGCAGAAGCCTCCAGAGGTGACAGCACTTGCTTAAAAGGGCAGCATATGATGTCATTCGGAAAACCCTGCATCCTGCTCACCGAGTGAGAATTTCCTGTGAGGGTATGCCCTGCCGGCCATGCCAAGACCAGAATCCCCAAGACAAATACAGTACGTGACACACACCAGGGAAGGCTCACGAACCATGTGTGGTTGTCAGTGAGTCTTGTGGCCTCATGTGTGCCTACTCCATACCAGGCAAAGGGTGGGAATGAGCAAAGAGTAAGTGGAGGAGAGGGGAGGGGAGAGGGTGGGGTCTGGGTCATGAGGTTGGGGGCACTCTGAGCCGTGAGTCCTTGCCAAGGCTCTGCACCACTCTGGGCCCTGATGTTCTCATCTAGGCAATGGGCTGACAACCCTTTATTGCACATTTGCTTGTTTAAGCAGACAAGACACCTGAGGACACCAGCACAAGTCCTGCACCTGCTTTGTCAAGTTCCTGGAGAAGCTCATTCTAGTCCAGTTATGAGACACGGTTAGAAACTGAAAACATAGTTTGCAGACAATTCACAGAATGAATGGCAGGCTAGGGAGGTGGGACTTTATCCTGGAGGTAATGTGGAGCCACTGAAGGTTTCAGAGCAGAGCAGGACCCTGCACCCAGGGATGATTTGGCAGAGCAGGGAGATGATAACCATGGCCAAGGGGAGGGGCAATAAAGGGCCCGGCCCTGCACAGTGCTGGGGGGCAGCAAGAACGGAAAGGGATGTGGGACCTTGGGGGCAGCATGGATGGGACTTGGCCACTGACTGGAGGTGGGAAATCTCTGGGCAAAGGGGCTGGGAAAACCCGCATCAAGAGTGGAAAGGCCTCGCCCAACTCTAACAGTATCAAGCAGACATGGAGCAAGAACACGACTGTAGCTAGAAAATAAATCTAATTTACACATAGTTTTACACTTAGGGGAAAGGATTTAGTTTATATTTAGTTTTTCCAAGGACTTATTTGCTGCATGATGAAATGAGAAACTAGGATGTAAAAAGGAGGAGTGCACCCTGTAGACTCTTTTGCAGTTCCTCCTGCCATTGAAGGTAAGGGTGGCAACACAGTGTGGAGAGAAAAAGTTCAGGGCTAGAAGCTAGGAGGTATGTGTTCTAATCCTGGGCCTACCACTGGCTGGGTGGGAGCCTCAACCTTCCAAGAGCCTTAACCTGCCCATGTATACACAGAGGGGGAGGTAGGGGCAGGCTAGAAGGCCCCTGGAGTTCTAGCATGCCTCAGTCTGGGTATTTATTTATTTTTTTTTGAGACAGGGTCTCGCTCTGTTGCCCAGGCTCGACTGCAGTAGTGTGATCACAGCTCAACACAGCCTCAACCTCCTGGCCTCAATTCAGTCTCCTGCCTCAGTCTCCCAAGTAGCTGGAACTACAGGTGCATGCCATCATACCTGGTTAATTTTTGTATTTTTTTTTCTTTTTTTTGTAGAGACAGGCTCTCACTATGTTGTCCAGGCTGGTCTTGAACTCCTAGGCAAGTGATCCACCCACCTCGGCCTCCCAAAGTGCTGGGATTACAGGTGTGAGCCACCACGCCCGGCCCAGTCTGTGGATTTTTAAAAGAAGATGACATGAAAGAGAGGGCAAAAACTAGGTGAACTGGGAGGTGAGGTTGGGCTTTGCTCCCAAGAACTTACATTTGCTTCTCCAGGGGGACGGCAGGATCCACCCTTTCTCCTAGGATCCCGCAGAACTCAGGGCTCCCATGTTTGATAGGCTTAAAGCCCCCTCCAGGGGCACGAAGCTGGCGCCGCCGGTCCCGCGAAGGTGAGGGGGATGACTGCCGCTTCTCGTTGCCATTAAACTGTGCTGTGGGGAGAGAGAGAAAGTGCAGGGTTAGCAGAGCTCAGCCCAGGGAGCTACTGTGAGGCACAGAAGGGTAACGTTCAGCTGGTCTAGTTGGCAATTTACAGCTTGCAGGAGGAAGGGTTTCAAGCAATGACATAACATGGCACAAAAGATTTTGGCTTCCTAAGACAGGACACCCACGTGATCACAGCCCAATGGTGCGTGTGAGGGGCTGGCTGAGCCTCCAGAGGCCACTGGGCTCAGCCTTACCCCCACAGAAACCTCCCTGTGGCCTCTAGCGGGGGGCATGGCACTGCCTTCGGGGGGCACTGCCTTGGGGGAACTCTGTCCTCTGGACAGTTCTCAGGGGAAAAAGCTGTTTCTTGTATTGGGCCAAAAATCTGCCTCCAAGTGGCTCCTCTCCTCCTCTCATCCCACCTCAGGCCATACTGGCCACATCTGCCCCTTTCCCTGGGATACTCCTATAGAGTGCCACTTAGGGGTCATGCTACATCCCCTGTATTCAGATCCCCCGCATGGGCCCAGGACCCAGCGCCCAGGTGAGGCTAAAGCAGTGCCCATAGCACAGGAAGGGCCATTCCACATGCTCTTCTCCCCGCCCTGGGCCTGTGGGAGCATCGTTCACCCCCACAGGCTGGGGGAGGATGCTCCTTGAGGGAGACCCTGGAGACACCACAAAGAGCAGAAAGCGCTGAGCTAAAACTGGAGTTGCCAGAGGGTTCCTGGAGACCACCTTGCCAGTTATCCAGCTGGGCCTGTTTCCTTCTCTGAAAAACAGGGATAATGACAGCACCCATCTCATGGGGATTAAAGCAGATGACACACCTAGAAATCTTAGCACTGTGCCTGTACCTGTGGAAGGTAGTCTGTGCTGTTATTATAAATCACACTTATTGTGTCTGCTCAATGCACACACAGTACTAGTCACCTCACAGAAGCAACTGAACCAACCTGAGTTCTTCTCCTAAGCCTGCCAATGATTAGCTGCGAGCCTTGGCTACGCTATTGAACCTCTTTGAGTCCCCAGGCTGCTGTGAAGGTCAGATAAGAGGATACTCCAGCGCCTGACACACAGAGGGTGCCTAAGAAACGAGGCCAGAGCCTGCAGAGGAAGGTTCCTGAAGCCGAGGCCAGCTGCAGGCTCACAAACATGTCCCTGGCTGTGCCACACAAAGGCATAAACCTCTCCTCTAACCAGCAAGCATGATTGTGGCAAGCTATCCTCCAAGCCCGGCCAGACACACGAAAATCAACCCCCATGCTCACAGAAGGTCCTGGAGAAACCTCAGCGCTGGCGGGGTAACGTGCTGTCTGCTGAAACCGAGGAGCGTGATGAACCTGTTCTACATCTCAGCCACTGAACCATCTTCCCTATCAGGGACTGTGGGGCATTTCTGTCCCTCTAAGACACTCTTTCTCCATCAACCACTTTGGAAAACAGTGGGAAGGGAGGCTCTTGCCAACAGAAGGCTCCAGAGACACCGGACCCACCCACTTTCTGGACTGTGCTGAGCGTGTGGCCAGCCTGCTACCCAGCAGTGACACCAACAGGTAGTCCACCCGCGATGACACTCCTAACCACTTATCCACATGTACTAGGCACACTTCAAGGCTGGGAAAATAGTGATGGGCACAACAGACAGAGATACCTGCCTTATGGAGCGCAGGGTCCTCGTGAGGAGAGACAGGCAATAAATCAATCTGCCTATCAGTGGCTGGGGACAAGTGCCACTGAGAAAAATACAGCAGGGCAGGAAAGCCCTCTCCAAAGGTGACATCTGAATAAATATCTGAAGGGAGGAAGGAACATCTGTAGGAAGGACACTCCAGGCAGAAGGAAGAACAAGTTCAAGGGCCCTGGGGTGGGACTGTGCCTAGAGTGAGACACAAAATGATCCAGAGTGACTGGAAGGGAGTTGGGAAGGAAGCTGGGCTTCCTAGTCTTGGGAAGGACTCTGGCTTTGTTCTGAGAGACGTGGAGAGCCGTTCTGACTGGGCGCTTCCTTACAGGATTGCTGTGCTGAAAAGAGATGGAGGCAAGGGGTGTATGGGAACACTCTGGACTCTGTCTGATTTTGCTGTGAACCTAAAACTGCTCTAGAAAGTATAGCTGGCTAATTAGAGGGACAGAGAGCATGTGTACACGGGCACACAGGAGGGCAGCGAGGCAGTGCCCGCCAGTGGTCAGATCCAGCCACATTCTGCAGGCAGAGATGGCAGGACTCGCCTGTGCATGCAAAGTGCACCATGAGAGGAGGACTACGGGTGACCACAGGCTGAAGTGCAGCATCAGAGAAGGACGACTACTGGTGACCACAGGCTGTTGACCTAAGCGCTGGAAGGATGGGCTGGCCTTACCTATGAGAGGAAGACTCACCAAAGGCCCTAATTAAGCTTCCAGAAAGCAGCATGGAGGCCATGCCTTAACCTAGAGACACCCACAGCTCCGTGATGCCAGGGCTGGTGGTGTGGAGAGGAGGCAGAGTGAGGACTCGCTGGGGGTTCCTGCCCTTCCTTCTGGCCACAGTTCTTTCCTGTGTCCAACTACACACAGACAGCAATGACCTCAAGGCCTTCCCAGGGGACAGGTCCTGGGGCTGGAGAGTGAGAAGGCCCTTTCCCATCAGCTAATAAGGGGGCTTTTGTGATAGTGGCCTAAAACCTGGAGCTGGGGCCCTAGCACACACATCACCACCAGCATCTACCCCTCGCTGGCCTTCCAGTAGCCTGGATCTCCCAGTGGGGTTCTGGCTGAATGACGGCACCCTGATGGCAACCAATCATGGGACATATGGTCTTGGACAGGGGGTTGGGAGAAGGAGAGAAAGAGGTGAAGCAGGTTCTTACCCGAGCCCCTACTTTGCAGAGCCCTCCATGGGTGACCTTGGGCAGGGGAGAGCACTGGGGCTAGACAGACAAATTGGGGCCATGTCATCCTGGAGCCCCTTTCTAAAGAGCTTGGACTTGAACTTATAGATGGGGATAATCAGAGAATGGGCTTTAGAGACCTCTCTGAGTGCTGGTGGAGGGTGGGTTTGGGGTCAATCCTGAAGACGGGAAGACCAGTCAGGGAAAGGTGATGGAGGCTGACCCCCTCAATGACGGGAGGGATGTAGAAGCTTGACTACTTGTGGGAGTGAGTCCGGGATAACTGCTGTGTGATGCCCAGATTTCTGGCTTGGGGGAGGGTGATGCCCCCATTGGGATGGGCACAGAAGGGGATGTGGTCAGGGAGCATGGGACTAGCCTGCACTTCTCCATGATGCCTCCCTGCTGCTAATTTTCTGGTTGTCAGGAATAGAGAGGATACAACTCAGCAGGCATCCTGGCCCATAGGGCTGCCAGCGTTGAAGGGCTGCGGCTTGCCCTGGCATAGGAAGGGGACTAAGCTGGAAGTGAGGTTCTAGGCTTAGTTTTGCCACAGGCTCAGGAGACCGAGGGACCAGATGAATTATAAGTCACTTTCACTCCTGACATCCTGGGGCTCCACTGGCTAAAATCAGGATTGGGGGATTTCTGCCAATATAAATCTCTACAATCGACATCCCGACACAGAAGGTGAGCAGAGAGGCATGGAGCACAGAACATGATTGTGGAGGGAGCCCAAGCTTTTCGGCACAACCCAAAAGGCTCTCTAGGACCCGGCTGCTTGTCCAGCCTCAGGTCCACCAATCTCTTCACCTCACTAATACCACTTACCCTCCAGAGGTCACCTATTTCAGGAAGCCTTCCTGGACCTCACCTCTCCCAAGACTCACCTTGATCTTAGCACCCTAACTGCATGTCCTACCCTGGCTCCCGGTGAGCCCCCTGAGGGTAGGGGCTGTATCATGTGCCCCTTCCCCCATACCTAGCCCATTACCGGCAACATAACAGGTGCTCAATAAGTGATTAAATGAAGAAACTTAATGAACTGCTGTTTAGCTTTATTGGGAAAAAAAAATCGGTTTCATACCAGATAAATTGGATAAAAACTAGTAACGTCCTAGTCAACAATGTAATTCCCCACTGAAATAATTTACACATTTGCTGGCAAGCTTAATAATATAGCCATATATCTTAGAGAGAACAGGTGGTGATGAGTGACAGGCTTAATTAGGCAAATCATTTCACCTAAAATACAAATATACAAACTCCAAGTGCAGTGATTCGGCAGCCTAAGAAAAAAAATGTTAAGAACAAAAGCACCAAACACAACTGCTCTCATTCCTTCTAATTACGTTTCTCCTTAATCTGCAATTTAACATGGCAATTCTTTTAATTTAGTGATTTTTCTGCAAAAGATAAAGACACAGTCCTTCAAAAGAAGATCTGCATTTAGAGAAAAAATATGCTACCCCCGTGAGTCATTAGAATGACAGAACCTAATTAATTTCACCTATGGGCAATTAAAAATGGAAGTTGGAATCTGAAGGAGGAAAGTAAGACTCAGAGCTGTGCAGGTTGAGGCTCTGGGAGCCCTTCTGACTTTGGTTCCAATGATGGGGACCAGACCCTGGTGGTTGATGGAAGAGAGAGGCTGGTCAATGTTTTTCCAAAAGTTCTGCCATGGTGGCAGGACTCATTCCTTGAGACCCAGCTCAAGTGCCTTGCTTCTAGGAAGCTTTCCTGGCCCTCCCATCTGGATTGGTCCCCTTTCTGCTTGTATGACAGATTTTACACCAATCAGTCCTAAAATGTGGTCACTGCCAACAACAGAAGACAGCATCCAAGACACCTAGCTTAGCTCTATCCCTCCTACTGGCCCTGCCACGTGGGTAATGGGTGAGGAACGGCGGTCCAGAGGAGTAGTAGGAGGAACTCCTCCAGGGTCTCAAAGCCAAATAGCAGGGTGAGGGTCAAGCCCAGGACTGCAGGCCTGCAAGGTCAGGCTCACCCCACCCTTGGGTCTTCATTCCCCACAAGAATACCTGAGGGCTGCTGGTCTGGCAGGAGCTGGGCCTCATTCATCTGGCCTCCCTGCTGTGCACTTCCTACTTCTAGGCCTGGAATTACTGCCCTTCTGCTCCATCTGAATGATGTCTAGGAAAGGTCTGGCACAAACGCCACCTCCTCCACAAAGCTTACCCTGATGCCACCTGCAGAGAATTATCATCTCCCTCTTGGTGGCTCCCAGCCCTCAGTACATCTCCTGTAGCTCAGGGGGCATCCACACCACTCTTCTCAGTCAGCCTGGGTGCTGTGGGTGCTGCGCCTGGGATTTATTTTTCTTTGCCCTCTCCAGTCTCTTGTCTGCCCCTAACTCACAGAAGTTTCATGTGGAGAAGGTGCTTGGATGAGATAAATGTGTTCCTTCAGGGTGGATCTCTTTCCACTGTCCTGTCCACTGTTCAGAGCTGGCCAGAGAGTAAACTCCAAAAAGCCGATGGACCTCTAAAGCATAGCTCTCCTGGGTTTGCAAACCCTCCCTGCTCCCCAGTGCCCCAAGACAAAGGACAAATTCATTCTGGCGCTCAAGTTCCTCTGAATTTGATGTAATGATGCAACTTCCCCTACAAAACCCCTGTGGGTTCCACACCCACCCTTAGGTTCCAATCACAAAGGACAGCCAGTCCCCAGATCTATCATCTGCCTTTTTGTCTTTAGGGCTTTGTTTGGCTAAGTCTACCCTCTAGAATCCCTTTACTTCACTATTTCTCTGCAAAAACCCCAGCTATTCTTCAGAGCTCAGCTCCAACGTTATCTCCTGGGGTAGGTTTTGCTCTAGACCCCCAGGTAGAATTCCTTTCTCCTCCTCTGAGCTCCAAAGTCTGCACCACTGTCCTGGCACTGGCCTCTGCAACACTGAGGCATGTAGGTGTCTTCTCAGAATTGGACACTTTGCAGAGATGGGGCCATGTGCCTCAGTCTCCTCGGAGTCTCCCCATGGCCGACCTGCAGCTAGCTCCGATGAATGGCCCGTGGCTGAAACCCACCCAGGGAATGGAGGAGCTGCAGTGACTCGACTCACAGTTTAGGAGTCAGGAGGACCTGGGTTTGAATCCTGTCTCTGTCATTACTGAGTGACTTGGGGCATGTTTCTTAAACTTCTTTGAGCCTTAGCTGCCTCATCTGCAAACCAGGGCTGACAATACCTGTACCGTGAAGGTAACAGATGATGTACCAAGGTCCAGGCAGGCCCCCTGTAAGCGGGAGACCCTGACCCATGGTCACATGTACGCTCTGATACAATGCCTGTATCAGAAACCACCCCTTTTTCTGACTCCTGCTGAAATTCCTGAGTGAGAAGCTCCAAGAAGATAGGGCATTTCATTCTGTTTTGTTCAAGGCTAAATTCCCGATACCTAAAACAGTGTCTGATGTACAGTGGATGCTCAACATCAGTTGAAGGAATGAACCTGCACCTGGCTCAGCAGGACTGTAAATCTTCCATTCATCAGTCAACAAAGGAAACTCAGGAGCTGGACTCACTCAAGTGATTTTGGGAACAGTTTTGAAAAATGGCTTCATCTTTCTTTTTTTTTTTTTAAGAGACAGGGTCTCATTCTGTCGCTCAGGCTGGAGTGCAGTAGCACGATCATAGCTCAATGTCACCTTGAACTCCTGGGCTCAAGCCATCCTCCTACCTCAGCCTCCCAAGCAGTAGGGACTACAGGTGCATGCTACCATGCTGGGCTAAGTTTTTTTTTTTTAAGTTTGTAGAGGTGGCCTCTCGCTATCTTACCCAGGCTGGTCTTGAACTCCTAGCCTCAAGTGATCCTCCTACCTCAGTCTCCCCCAAACGCTGGGATTATAGGAAGGAGCCACTATGCCTGGCCTAGCTTACTCTTTATTTAGTGATTCCTGCTCATGGGCAGGCACCATGGGGGACTTAAAGTCCACGTTCTCCTCTAGTTGTTGTGGCAAACCTATGAGGTCAGTGCTATTACTGCCCTCGTTTTTAAAAGTGACGCCCGGTATGGTTAGGTAAGTTGCCCAGGGCAATAGGAACAGGTTGCTATGACAGGCAATGGGTCCCAGCGCTAGCCCTTGAGCCCTCTGCTTTGGGACTGCAGCCCTGGGCAGCCTCCCCAACCCAGGAGTGCCTTCCCCGGCGGAGGTGCAGTGAGAGAAGAGCTGACAGTCTGCCGCACATCCTCTTGTCCTCACCATTGACCAAGGGTGCGGGCAGTGGCCCCCGGGGATAGGGGGTCATTCAAAGAGAACTGGAACGGAGCAACAGGACCCAGAGGAGACTGGCATGGTTCTCCAAGCTCTGACTGTCTGGCTGCTTCTTTCTGGCCTGAAGTCTATGACCCTCTCAGTTCTCCAGTATAAGATGGAGTTTCCTTTAAACAGAGGCAATAAAGGTTGGAATGATGAAAAACAAGGCACCGTGTGTAGACTGCTTGCAAGGAGCTCTCAACCGCCACAGGCTTCTTAGCCCCTCTGCACATGAGCTGGAATGAACATGGGCCACATTTGTAAACCATATGTGGCTGACAGGAGGGGCTTGAAGGCTGTTGCAGCCCTGGTGTTGGTTCACGAATGTACAGAGGCAGAGTCAAGGTGCCCAAGGCCTTGCACAGTCCCTGGCAGGGGTTCCTGCACAGCACCAACAGCTAGGCTGGGACTCTGGGGTGTTGGTGAGGGGGAAAGGTGGGTGAGAGTGGGGAGAGCTGAGGTGGAGAGCCCAGAAGGCACTGCTGCCCAGGTAGTTGTGCGACCCCAGGAAGGGGCAAGGAGGGGAGATTATGCATTGGTTTGGGAGGTAGGGTGGACTACATGACCCCCGGAGTCTATGAAAATGCCATCAACTTTCACAACAATGCACTAACATCTGTAGATGACTGAAACCCTGTTCACATGACAATGGGCCTCTGCTGTTTCAGCTTTCCAAACAACGTACTGTATCATCTCATCTGACCCTCACCAACACACAGCAAAACAAGTATTAGAATTCCCAAACAAGTATGAGAATTACCATTTTATAGATGACACAACCGAGGCCCAGAGAGGTGAGGCCCCTTCTTCCCTCTAGTTCAAGAGTGAGTTTTGCTCACCCACCTACCCCACCTGCCCAGTGAGTGTAGGTTCCTTTCAGGTACCTGTAGGACAAGTGGCTTAGCAAATGTTTGATTTGTATTTCCAGGATCACCAACAAGAGGCCTCTGTGTTCGCCTGGAAGACACACACAGGCCTCAGGGCATTGTGCTGCCACTCATGATGGGAGGTGCCTGAGAACAGAGGTCCTCATTGTGAGGGGAGGCGGCCAGCGACTCACCACAAAGCAGGCAAGCGGGAAGGCTGTGAAGCAGGTGCCAGGACGCTGCCTGGGTTCCAGGAACGCCGTACACACATGTCCAAACCTGGGATGGGGACGGCGGGCCTGGCAGAAGGGGCATGCCTTTCTTCTCTTATTTGTGACATCCCCAGAGGAAAAATGAATGCTATTACTGGGAGCAAAGACCCCACCCTAAGATCTGATGCTTGACTACAGGAAATCTAAAGATAAAGCCCGATGAAGATGATGAAATAACCCGAACGCAGAGGCCTCTACGGCTGCCAAAGCAAGCCATATTTATTGTCATAACTCATTATGCAGATGGGAAATGGAGGGCTGGAAAAAGGACTGACTCACCCAGAGTCAACAGTTAGACGTGAACTTGGACTTGAGTCCAGGTCTCCTGAGTCCTGGAGGCCCCTAACAAGTTCAGCATAAACCCTGTGTGAGTGCAATACAGTCTCAAAAACAACCATAGTAACCACAGTGATACATCTATGAGCACTCACTGTGCCCCCAACTCTCAGTGCATAGTACCGCCCCCACTGTACAGATGAAGAAACAGAGACAACTTGGCCCAGGTCATCCCGCCAACAAGTGACAGCACAGGACTTTAAATCCAGATACCCCTGGCCCCAGCACCTGAGCTCCTTCCTGAGTTCCGGGCCAGGCCCATCTGTAAAACATACCTGGGACCTACACACGTCTGATACAGTATGTCTCCCGACACTTTCACCTGCAGACACCCACAGACACTTATTTAGAATCCTAGAGCCTGGGAAAGTGACTTTTTCCCCATCCACAAGCCCAAAGACCTGCAAGGAGCAGGCTGGGCATTTGTGGAAATGAGTCTCCCTGTCCATAAGACCCAAAGCCCCAGCCCCACTGTGTATGTTTCTCTGCTGCCCATTGTGGATGGCTGTGAGGGAGGCCAGGAGAGATGGGGAGTGGAGGTCGGGGGGACAAGCCAGGTACTGGCCACAAATATGGCTTGCCAGGGCTGCCTGCACCCAACCAACACACCAGTCTCCAGGCCCACAATGTGGCATCTGGATTCATAGTCAATCCTCAGACAGGCAGGGACATGCTGTCCACTTCTCCCTGGAAGTTGAGACCAGAGGTGGCAGCCACAGCAGTCAATGGCTACTCAGAAATGCCCTCCTACTGCCTCACCTAGTGAGGAGACAGGTATACAGCATGCAAGAAAGACATGAAAACACACCGACTGTGTGTGGGCAGGCCATGAGATTTACTGGTATTCTACTGCTCCTAAGAGAACACAGGGTTGGTTTTCCTGAGACCCGATTTACTCAAATATCTTTTTTTTTTTTTTTCTCGAGACGGAGTCTCACTCTGTTGCCCAGGCTGGAGTGAGTGGCACGATTTCGGCTGACTACAACCTCCACCTCCGGGGTTCAAGTGATTCTCCTGCCTCAGCCACCTGAGTAGCTGGGATTATAGGTGCCTGTCACCATGCCCAGCTAATTTTGTATTTTGGGGCCGGGGTATCTGGATTTAAAGTCCTGTGCTGTCACTTGCTGGCGGGATGACCTGGGCCAAGTTGTCTCTGTTTCCTCATCTGTACAGTGGGGGCGGTACTATGCACTGAGAGTTGGGGGCACAGTGAGTGCTCATAGATGTATCACTGTGGTTACTGTGGTTGTTTTTGAGACTGTATTGCACTCACACAGGGTTTATGCTGAACTTGTTAGGGGCCTCCAGGATTCAGGAGACCTGGACTCAAGTAGAGACCTGGATTCAAGTGGAGACAGGGTTTCACCATATTGGCCAGGCTGGTCTCGAGCTCCTGACCTCAGGTGATCCACCCGCCACAGCCTCCCAAAGTGCTGGGATTACAGGCGTAAGCCACTGCGTCTGGCCTGATTTACTCAAATATCTGAGGGCTCACTGTGTGCCAGGCACAGATCACAGGTGTGAACAAGACAGGCAGGGTCTCTGACCTCAGGGAACTTAAAAATCTCCACATGAAGATCTCTGAGCTGCCAAACAGAAGAGCAAAAGTATTCTATCAAATCTTTGTTTTTTTTCCACTGAGGAGACAAAGGCACTTGGAGGAATATTTCTATCAATGTAATTAGCAGATGAAACAAAGCTATTAAACATTGGTGTTTTTTTCCTCTCCTTTTTTTAAGATTACTAAATGAATTTATTCATACGTCAAATAGAAAAACCAACTGGAAAAACCTGTCCCTCAGTAATACATTAGCCAAAGGAAACAAGTGATCCCCGTTCTCTCACTGAAACCCCCCTTTCCTGGGCAGACCTGCTGTTCACAGGTGTTAAACATTAATTACAACTGTTACTCATTACATAGCAAAAAGCATTTGGTACCAACACAATTGTTAATTTCCTCACAGGCTCAAGGCATTCTGGGAAGCTATACAGGGGACAGGAAGCATCATGGGAGCCTAAGGGGAGCCAGTTTGGAAGAGACAGCATTCTCCTGGCTAGGACAGGTGGTGGTGGTGGCCGGGTTTAAGGTTCTCCAAGGGACCCTCTGCAGATGCCGGGGCCCTGTTTATTCTGAGCACGTGAAGATGAGTCACATAGCTTGGTGGGAATAGCAAGTGTGGAGCAGTGCCCTACACACACAATGGTGGTGTTAAACCAGCTTCAGAGCGACTGTGTTTGAGGGGGACGGTGACAAGTCACGAGGGCAACATGGTATGGGTGCAACTGCTTCTGCCTTGTACCGGTGTGCAAGGGAATTCCAGCCTGACCCCAGCCACACACAGGATATCAAGGCAGCAGTGGAGAGAACAAGTGCTGTGCAGTCAGACTGGCCCAAGTTCACAGCTGTGTGACTGTGGGCAAGCTGCTCACCCTCTCTGAGCTTCACTACTGTCATCTGAGTGACGACAATGAAGTGAACCCTACCTTGCAAGGCTCTGTAGGGTTAACCTATGCCAGGTTTATAATTATTGCTCAATAAATGTTAATTTCCTGTCCCTGGTTCCTCCCCATCCTTCCTTACCTTAATGGGATTATTTTAAATTAGCTAGTTGAGCTGGCTCTGAGATGATTCATAGTTGTTTAGGAAATAGACATACCTGGGGCCTTACTTTCCCTTTTAGCCTCATTTGATGAGGCTTTGAAGGTGTCAAAACTCAAGAGGGAGGCTGGCTAAGGGGTGATACCATAGCATAAGCACCCCACACGCTGACAGTGTCTAGTGCGTATCTAGCTATTTCCGAATAAACCAATGTACTCCAGTACAGGGTGTAGTAGAAGCACAGAGGGGAAGGAACCGGTTGTGTCAGGGAAAGCTTCCTGGAGGAGGTGACTTCCCCTCCCTAACTCTATCCCAACCCCACACCTAATACAAAGCATGTACTCTGTACCCTCTATGTTCTCAAAGTGGGGTCGCCAGATGGCAGCATCAGCATCACCTGGGAACCTGTTGGAAATGCAAACTCCCATGCCTCACCCCGGATCTACCGAATCAGGAACCCTGGGGGTGGAACCCCAGCAATCTGTATAACACTTCCTCCAGGTGATTCTGATGCCTTCAAGTTTAAGACTTACTGCTCCAGGCAAAAAAGAAATCCACAGACATGTCAGACCTAGAATAGGGAAGGCGCGGATCGGAGGAAGGCCCTGGGGACCCTCTCCCACCCAGGGGACCAGTGGCCCAATCCTCGGGAGGGACTGAGTAAAGAATGGAAGAACCAGGGGACTCGTTAGAACTGTTGCTGGAATTGGGATATGGGGTTTCCTGAAGAAGTGGTGCTTTCCACACCATCCGTGCTTCCCATTGCCAGGCATAACTGGGAATGAGCTTTGGAAACAGGTCCTCTGTGGCCACTAAGTACTTCTTTATGCAACATGGTTTTTATGTTAAATTGAATTTTATGTAATACAGCAAGCCCCCTCTGAACACCAAAACCAATTCTGAAAACCAAAACACCAAATGATCCTTTAGGGCTTACCATGTCTTTTCATTCAGATCTTTTGTTTTTATTTAATCAACACAGAGATCCAGTGTGAGAAGTTGTGACCATCCCCATTTTACAGATAAGTAAACTAAGGCTCAGGGAGACTGAACAGTCTGTCTCAGGTCCCGAAGTGGTGAAGGGTGGAGCCGGCATGTGAACTTGGGACTGTCTGACTCATCCCATTGCCCCATGGGTCCCAACATGCAAGACACTGTCCTAAACTTCTAGGGCAGAGAAATCTGCCAAGGAGCTAGTGGGGAAGACAGATAAGTACCCAAAATAAGTATGCTGAGCAGTATTTGAGTCATGTGTCTTTTATCTTTGCTATGAGGCAGACCTGGCTGAGCCAAGGACACTGCCTGAAGAGTAACTTTCACGGAGACAAAGCTTCAGATGGTGAATCGAAATGAGATGACTTAGTTTCTCAAGAAGGTCTGGGGGGTGCCCTTCACACACCCTCCTGTCATCTGGCTCCTCTATCAAGCTCAAGAGCTGCAGTTACTTACTTCTCAGATACAAGTGCAAATTATTAAAGACATAGCCGTTTACTCACTGGGTTAAAAGGAAATGCTGGTCATTCCTCTATGTATGGCCTGACTGGCTCTGCCATGAGGTCTCCAGCTGTTCCCTTCTCCACTCTGAGCCTTAGTTTCCCCAGAAGGACAGGGAGTGGGACTCTATGGTATGTGGGACTCTATGGTATACGGGCCCCTCTCTGTGCTGAGTGGTGGTAGGAGAAGACCAACCCATGGGATGGCGCTGGTCCCCCTCCAATGAAAGCACGAACCTCCAGAACCCAGTCCCCCACAGAAACCCTGACTGGATCCATTTCAGGTGGGAAGCCACCACCCAGTTACATATCCTGGTGTAGATGTCGCAGAAATTAGTGCAAGTGAGATGAAGAAATTAGTGCAAGTGAGATGAAGGGCATGCGATACCTCTTGAGGGCTGTGGGGGGATGAGAGCTCCAATCATATTTCCTGCAGCATCTTGGATAGCACCAGAGAGGCCAGACATTTGACTGGGTTAGGGCAGGGGCTCTGGAGTTGGAGCTGACAGGTTCAAAGTCCGGCTCTGCTGCTGACCAGCCATGGGCTGGGCCCCCAGCCAAGTTATTTCTTCTCATGGGACCTTAGCTTCCTTATCTGTAAAAGGAGGAAACTAACCTCCCAGAGGGTGATTATGAGGATTGAATGAGAGAATGCACACAGAAAGTGCTCAGTAAATGCTAGCAACAATGCCAGTACTTTCCTGATGTGATACCCATCAAATCTCACCAAGACCCTTCTGAAGTGGGAACTACTGGTCTTACTTCCCAGGTGGAGAAACTGAGACTCCCAGGACATGTTCATGCCCAGTCCTCACACTGGTCCTTCAGAGGTGTGAAGACACCGATTTGGTGTCTTTGCCACCTCCACCGAGGTCTGCTTCTACAGGCTATCCACCCCGGCTCCTTGGTCCCTGCCTGTGGGCCCCTCCCTACGTGGCCACTTTCTGCTCAGGTTCCATTTGTCCATCTTGCAATCTGTGCCACACAGCCTGGCAACCAGGTAGACCTGCCACACCAACCTGCACCACCCCCAGACACCATGACATCATCCAAGGCTCCTTGTCCCCTTCCCAACATTGGGCAGGGGGTGCCACATAGGCCTCGTGTGGGCCCAAGCTGCACCTGGCGGGGGTGGGTTGGGGACAGAGCAAGAAGGCCATTTCTAGACCCAACTGCTGGCCTTGCTGGTTGCTGTAAAGACTCCTGGGGTGATTCAAAGTGGGCCAGGAACAGAGTCTAGCCTGCTCTGGAAGGCTGGTGTCTCTGCCGGGTGGGAAGGGGGCTGACAGCTTGATGGAAGCCACATCACTTCCCTGTGGAGGCAGAGCTGCAGTCCACTCCCTGCAGCCAGCAGCCCGTGGTGGAACCTGACTGGGCATTGTCCTGGGGATTGGGATCCGACAAGTGGGAGTGGGGGTCTGGTGAGGCCACAGTCAGCTTCCTGGAGAAGAGCAGGCAACGAACACCCAGGGTTTGCTGTTTGGACGGCTCCAAGTATTTCTCACCAACAACTCTCTGAATCCTTAATTAAATTCCATGTCAGCCATTCTCAGAGAAGGGGAAACTTTCATTCCTAAGAAGTTGGGGCCACCTCACACACTCTAAGAGCTGTTTTTGTGACAACTGGGAAGTGATAACTGAGCCTTCCGCGGTGGCAGCCCCAGCCTGATGAGATGGGAAGGAAGGCGCTGACTTCCAGAAACACTGCCCAAGAAGGGCGCCCCGGTGGAGAATGCTGAGGCAGTGCCTGAGAGGTGCTTTTCTTGAACGCAATTCGGGACAGTGCTTTGAAAGCTGGAAGGCACTTTTGCTTCATAGATGGATGGAGCTAATTCAGCCATCTTCCCCTCTCCCTGTCTCTGACCAGCACGCTGAGGCTCTGATGGAATGAAGCCTGGATGCATACCCAGAGCTGGTTGCAGACTGACCTCCCAGGACACGCCCTTTGTCAGAGCCCTGCCTCGCTCAAGCTTCTGCTTGCAAACCCCCAGTGATGGGAAGCTCATTACACACATTCAGTTCTAACCAAAATTCTTACCCTTCACCTGGGCCCTACATCCCTGTGACTCCCCCTTTGGCAGGCCCAGGTCTGTCCCTTAGGAGTCCCCCACACTCTCCACCCTTTGGAAATTTGAAAGCACTGACCCCATTCCCCGCCCAAGTTTCCCCATCCAGGCCAAATCTGCACAATCAGCAAATATAAGGGGTGAAAGGAGAGGGTAATGATTTTGGCCAGCCAACTCCACCCCATACAGCTCTTCCTCCAGCTATGGATCCTGCACCTCAGGCTCCAAAGACTCAGTGCAGAGAGCTCCCAAAAGCCAAGAAAAAACTGCACAGGGCATTTCTGACAGGTACTATGCTAAGGATGGGGCCCAGCCAAGCTGCCTTACTCACTGACCACACCAACGACTCGCTCAAGTGTGAGTGCATACACTTGCATACACACCCACACACATGCAGATGGATGTACACTCTCATGCACACACAACACTGACTCAGGTGGGGGTCCTCGCCATCCTTCCCGGGAAGCTGCACTTCTGGTTTTACACATGGGGCTGTGGCAACACATCAGCAATCTAACCGAGCTGCTTCAACTTATCCTCACCACTTGAGAGGTGGCCCACCCACCTCTCCACTTTCCCTCCAGCGACAGTAACAGTGAGGATGCTTCTCACCTGCCAATGCTGCGCCTAATGGACTCTGTCCACAGACATGGGAAGAGAAGGCTGGTGCCCATAGGACCCCTCCAGCTCCTGAGTGAGATGGCCTCCTCCTTCTATGCCCCAGGAAGCAGAACTGAGCCAAAAGCAGCTTGGGAAAAGCACAGCCAGCACCCGCCCTGGAGTAGGACCTACAGAGGCCAGTGACCGGATGAGACACAGACGTGGATGTGATTCTCTGTCTATCTTCTATCAACAGCCCAATAACTCAGACTGACCGTGACACCTGTGATGGCAACTCTGCCACACAAAACCCAGGCCAAAACGGATGCTTGTGGGCTCAGAAACTCATTCTGAGACAGTTCCATCTGAGACCTTATGATCCTTTGTGAACAACTAAATGTACAGGAGTTCTAAAACCACCTTTGGGCAGAAGTGGGCAAGTTCTGGCCTGAGAGTTTTCTTCAAAGATGATGTCCAATAGGGGAATTGCTTTTCACTTTCACAGATCACCTGGGATCTTGTTAAAACAGATTCTGACTCATAGGCCTGGGATGGGACCTGAGACCCTGCATTTCTAACCAGCACTGGGTGAGGCCAATGCTGCTGGTTCAGGGACTGCACTTTGAGTAACAAGATGCCAGACTAGACTAGACCATCAAAGGCAAGGGCAGCCCCTGAGAGGCCCACAGGGGGTCAGTCCAGGGGAGGGTGAGTCCCCACACCTGCCTGTGGTGCTGCATTATAATGTGGGTCCTCGGTGTCTGGGAAAGTTGTCACATGAGCCTTTTTAGCCCTTTAATCAAACTGGTGTTTGCAAAGAGTAAGCTCTTGGATGGCCCCAGTTCCTCCCATGCCCAGAGAAACACAGCCCCTGATCAGCCATGCCCAGGGGACAGACCTTGGGTTCCTTTGGTTCAAGGGAACAGAGGAGGCTGTAAAATGCACAGGGGAGACCTGGGGCAACTAAGGACCTACAGCCACAGGATGACTCTTATCTTTGGCTCTCGGCCAGGGGCTGGGGCTCCAGAAAGGTGATGGGACAGGTTGTCCTTGAGGACCTCACAGCCTGGCAGGCAAGACCAACATCTACAGAACTAACCCTGATGTGGTGTGAGAAATCTTCCCCCAGTGATGTATGCAGGAAACTCGACAGACCTATAGGGGCAGCAGGAAGCCTGTGGAGTGCATGGCTGTGTACCAGGGAGGGCTTGGAGAGATGATAATGTTTAAGCTGGGCCTCAAAGGAGGCATAGAATTGTTCCAGATAAGACAGGCAGGGAAGGGCATTTTAGCTAGAAAAATGGGATTTGCTCAGCGCATGCTATATTCACAGAACTGTGAGTAATCTGTGTTGGAATGGCTAGAACAGCAATTAAGGGGCCTGGGATGAGGGCAGGGTAGAGGCCTCACTGTTCGGGGTTAGAAAGGTAGAAAGGGTCTAGTTATATACAAAAAAAGGGGAGATTTAAGGCAAAATAAATTTTAAACAAACTAAAGATAAAAAGTTTCCCTTTATGATTGTCAGTGTGGTAGGAATTAAATGTCACTCACTGTCTCTCTTTTTACATGCCTAAACTCTGAGATACCTAAACATTGTTTGGCATCTGGCTTTTCATCTCTTAACATTAGACATAAGCATTTCTCTAGGTTATTATGAACTCTTGCTGAACATCACCTTTTAGAGGCTACACAACATTCCAATATTCCACCACACAGACGCACAGAAATCCAGTCCCCATTGCTGGACATTCGGGTTGCTCTCCATTTTCCATGATTATAAACAGTGCCTTTTCCGAATTTTTTTATTTTTTATTTTTATTTTTTGCTCTTGTTGCCCAGGCTGGAGTGCAATGGTGCGATCTCGGCTCACCGCAACCTCCACCTCCCAGGTTCAAGCGATTCTCCTGCCTCGGCCTCCTGAGTAGCTGAGATTACAGTCATGTGCCACCACGCCCAGCTAATTTTGTATTTTTAGTAGAGATAGGGTTTCTCCATGTTGGTCAGGCTGGTCTCGAACTCCCAACCTCAGGTGATCCACCCGCCTCGGCCTCCCAAAGTGCCAGGACTACAGGCGTGAGCCACCGCGCCCGGCCTTCTGAATTTTTTATCATAACTTTGGCACAGATTCTAAGGAGTGGGATTAGAATAAAAAGGTGTTAGCTTAGATTTATGACTTATGATGCACATGCCCAAGATCACTTTTCAAAAGGGCTGTGGGAGAGGAGTTCTAGAATTGTGACAGATACCCAGATTCTAGAAAAACCAGCCTTTGAGTAGGAAGGAGATACCCAAGTCACTCAAGGGGCTCTTGGCCAGGGGAGGGTCATCTGGGAGGGGCTGAGCTCTGTCCATCACCTGTGCTCTGTGAGCGTGTGCACGCTGAAACTGGGATAGAAGACACAGTGGTCCTGTGAGCCCTGCAGGGCTAGCTCAGCTCGCAGCACTGGGTGGGATCAATGGGCCCGCTGAGGGCCAACAGGAGCTGCTGTGCACACTGGGTTCCTCTTACCTTCTAAGAAAGTTCCTTCTGAAAACTGAAATCAGGCCGGGTGTGGTGGCTCACGCCTGTAATCCCAGCACTTTGGGAGGCCGAGGTGGGCGGATCACCTGAGGTCAGGAGTTTGACAGCAGCCTGGCCAACATAGTGAAACCCCGTCTCTACTAAAAATACAAAAAATTAGCTGGGCATTGTGGCAGGCACCTGTAATCCCAGCTGCTTGAGAGGCTGAGGCAGGAGAATCACTTGAACCTGGGAGATGGAGGTTGCGGTGAGCCGAGATCGCATCACTGCACTCCAGCCTGGGCAACAAGAGCGAAACTCTGTCTCAAAAATAAATAAATAAATAAATAAACCAAAAACTGAACTCTTGGCTTCAGTGAGCTAGGGTATTATCAATAAATAGGACCAAGACAGAACCAGACAATGAGAGCATCTGAGCCCTCTCTTTAAAGTGTGGAGGCTGGAACACTGAGACCCTGGAAGCCAGACCCAGAATTTCTCCTCGGCCTGGTTTCCCTACCCTCACCTCTCCCTTTCCTCTGCAGCCTACATCTGTGAGGGTACTGAGAAAAAAGACCACCCAACTGGATTATTAAACAACCCTGGAGTTTGTCCTGAGCGCAGGTGGGGACCAAGGTGAGTGCTGAGCGCAGCTCAGCAGCTGCCTCCTGAGCAGGGTCAGGGCTCCTTACCTGCCAGGGCTGGGATGGTGACCCGGTTCCACTCCCAAGGCTGGTCGTACTCATCGGCGGGCCTGTCGTCATCCTGGGGCAGCTTGCTCTCCCGCAGTCGGGGGCTGACTGTGCTCTCCGAGTCTGAGTCAACACTTTGGCCTTCAGGTTCGTAAGGGGTGTCATATAACTGGATACCTTTATGCTGGGACCGGACACTTTCCTGCCTCTGAAATTCTGCAGGCAAAAAGGAAGGAAGCAGAGATGAAATGGATACTGCACTTCCTCACCTGCATTCCCACCCAGAAACACCACAAACTCAGAGCTGCCAGCGGGGAGGTGAGAACGACAGAGAGACAGACCCCTGTCTGGGTTTTACCCACCCCACCAACCCCCAGTGCCGCGTCTCTGCTCTTCCTGGGCCAGGCTTGCTCACAAGGCTCACATGCTCGCAGGCCTAATGACAGCCCTGCCTCCATCCACTCATGAATCTCAGGCTTAAGAGGCAGAGCCCAGATGTGAACATGATGCTCCAGGTGTGTCCTGATGCCCACCCAGAACACGCAGAGCTTCTGACCCCTTGCTTCATAAACAGGCTGGGGTCTTTCCCTCTAGGGCAGTTCCTTGCCCTCTTTGGACTTTCAGTCCTCATCTGTACAAGGAAAAGACTGGGCCATGCAGTTCCCAGTTCCCACCAGCTCACACATTCATTTAAAAGAACCAACAAGAGCCTCCCCAAGGAGACCAGAGGCCACTTTTCTCCCCCGCAAAGCCTGAGTGACCCCTTCCCTTTATTTCTACCTCCCCCAGACCATCTTTTAAATAGACTGAATTTATTTAGGGATTTGAGAGGGTGTCCAGCTTCACTTCTGAATAAAGAAAGCAAGCTCTTGATCTTCTAGAGAAGATGCTAAGGCCTGGCACTGGTGTGGGCTGAGGGATGACTGCCTGTCTAGACGAGGTCCCAGACAGGAGGTGTTCATTTTGGCTGCTGCTCAGTCCTGGGAGGCCAGTAGTGGCTGGAAGGATGGATGCTAGGATGCTAAAATCAGGCACTTCCCAGTCAAACAGGGAAATTTTACCTGCTGTTTGATCATGGATACTATGTGCATGGCCCAAGCGGGGAATGTGGGGAAGGTTTACCATGGAGGTTGGTTTCAGGAACCTCACTGTTCCCAGCAGACACAACATGTGCCTAAATTACCATCATGCTTGGCGGCAAAGGGGGCTCAGTGTAGGGCCTGGGAGTGGCAGGGCAGGAGGGAAGGGAGATGGCATTTGAACTGTCAGCTCTGACAAGTGGAAGCAGGAGAGGGGTGGCTTCCTGGTGGTAGGACCAGGGCAAGCCAATGCGATGAGGCTGGAAAGAACGTGCTTGCTGCCTACTTTATTTTTTATTGTGGTAAAATACATATAATAACATTGAGCACTTTTTTATTTTATTTTATTTTTTGAGATGGAGTCTTACTCTGTTACCCAGGCTGGAGTGCAGTGCTACAATCTCGGCTCACTGCAAACTCTGGCTCCCGGGTTTACACGATTCTTGTGTCTCAGCCTCCCAAATAGCTAGGAGCACAAATGTGCACCACCACACCTGGCTAATTTTTGTATTTTTAGTGGAGACGGGGTTTTGCCATGTTGGCAAGGCTGGCCTCGAACTCCTGACCTCATGTGATCTCCCTGCCTCTGCCTCCCAAAGTGCTGGGATTACAGGTGTGAGCCACCGCACCCAGCCAACATTGACCATTTTAGCCATGATTAACGTACAGTTCAGTGGCATTAGGTACATTCACACTATTGGGAACCTTTGGCACCATCCATCTCTAGAACTGTTTCATCTTCCCAAACTGAAACCCTGTACCCATTAAACACTAACTCTCCCCATTATCCCTCCTCAGCCCCCACAATTACCCTTCTACTTTCTGTCTCTATGAATCTGATCGGTCTAGGCACATCCTGAACAATGTGGAATCATTCAGTTTCATAATGTTTTCAAGGTTCTTCCATGTTGTAGCCTGTGTATGACTTTCCTTTTTCAGGCTAATATTCCATCATTATGTATATTCACCGTCCATGTTGGCTGGAGTACCAGGTCCAAGGAGGTGAGGGAGCAGAGGTGAGCCTTGATGCAAAAGGGGTGAGGACTGTAAGTGAGCTATTTCAATGCTCTCTTGAGGTCTTCCCGAAATCAGAATTCTGATGGCATAAAGATATGGCAGAAGCCACAGGAGTTATGCTCCTTGAAGAGCAGCTGATAAAACACACACAAATGACATCAGCCCTTCCGAGAAAGAGAGCTGCTTTCAGGCTGGGCTTTATGATTCAGGCCGGCTCATGTGGACACACGCCACGAAGAAACAGAAGCCAAGGATACTGTGCCTGTGATCATTAGTGTTTACATGAATTAACTTTATGCTAGTATTTCCCAAGCTTTATTTAGTCATGTGACTTCATGACTTGGGCCATTTCTGCCTACCAGTTGGGTGGTAGTAACCTGGGTGGTTACTTATCATTTTTATTTATCTCGCCTCACTTTTTAGATAAAATAAACTCATTTAAAAAAGAGACTTTGGATCACCATCCCATAAGCCATTATTCTTTGCCAAAAATAGATACTAAGCAGAATGAATAAAAACCAGCAAGGTAGGTGCTGATGCCTGCTGGGAAGCTGAGCGTGGGGCTTGCTTTCTCTGCTGAGAGGTGAGATTTGCAAGTGTTGGAGAGCCACCGGGAAATGCAATCAGCAAACAGACACTTTCTCTGGCAAATATGAATAATCTTCTCTCCCTGGAAAGAGAGAGAATAAGAAGGGAAAAACCTTCTCACTATGTAGTTCTCAGGGCACCTAATATCACATCTATGAGAAGGTGTCCCACACTTTGGCAAACACAGCTTTTATTGGGTCCCATGAGTAAACTCGGATCATTTATTAGTTTTGAGGATGATGCTTCCTTTTTTTACCGAGGGAGGAACAGGAAAAGAGAAGGGAAAAGAGTGGTAGGACTTTGTCACTTTACGGTGAAGACCAACTGTTAAGTACGGTGGACAACTTCGTAAATCACTAAATCTACCAAACTAATCTGCAACTTATTGTCTTGTAGGGTCCTCATCACCTGTATTCGTCTTCCTCCGTTCTGAGGAGTGAAGTCTAGCCTCCTGTCTGCAGAATTCTGGGGGCTGAGGATACGGCAGCTGAGAAGGCACTGACCTGGGAAAACCACCTTCCTCTTCACCCTCCTTCACAAAAGCAGGACCAGCAACCACTCCCATGTACACAGTTGATGAAGTACTTTTCATGCAATTCACCATTTAATCTAAAGGAACCACAAACAATTCACAGATGTACTTCCCGTCGGGCCCCTGATAATCAGGAGTGCTTTTGCTCACTCTCACGCCAAAGAGATACTCAGTGAATGTGGTGGGATAAATGAAACAGAACTGACAGCCAGAAACCACTATTTACCCCCAAATTCCAGATACTTTATGAAAGTCCCTGACAGTAGTGATAAAGGATCTGGGACAATATGCCAAATGCATACAGTTTAGTGTTAAACAATATGCATTAGAGACAGATATTCTCCATAAACACCAGCCTTAAAGGGAAACATGTGCAGTGAACAGATTAGCTATTAAATCAGAGGACTTGTGCATACACCTCTCATGCAGGATTTATTGTTCCAGAAGCATCTGCACCTTACCAAAGCTGGACTAGTAATGGCATGCAGTTAGGGCAGGGGATGTTATAACGGTAATCATTAAAACAAGCCTCCCCCACTACATTACATGGCGAATTCAAATTTTCATTAAGGCCCCAACAATAGGGAAGAGTTAAGTAAATTATGGCATGTTAACTGGATGGAATATTAAGCAGCCATTAAAATGATCAATCTGAAGATTATGTAGCGACATGGGAAACCATGCAAGAAATTATGCTAAGCTAAAAAGTAAAATGCAAGATTGTTTATGTGTGGGGGGCAAAGTATAACGCAGGCTTTTTAAACAAGTCTCCGTCAATATGAGCAGGGCCCCACAGGGAATTCTGCTCCTTGCCTGGGCATTGGTAAATACTGACATCACAGATTTGGCCTATATCTACACTGTGATGACAGCAACGTTGTAAGTACAGACATCCACAACACCAAGAGCTGAAAAACCCAATACAGGAAGGTAAACAGCTACTGTGTAGAGGAGAAGGGATTATCGCGTAATTATTTTTGAAAGTTGTTTTAAATAATGAATAAAGACACTAGAGCAGAAAAAATGTAATTAAGATGAGCACATGAAAGAGAGTAAATATGATTTTAAGCAGGCTGGGCTTCCAGGAGCTGCGTGTATTTAGGAAGCAGCTGCCTTTCCCTGAGAAAATGCCCATTTGGGAGCATCTTCTCTCCTGGGAGAGGCTCACCAACAGCTCCAGGACATCGAAGGCCCTTGTGCCAGGCCAGCTTGCCAGATGTTGCTGCCTCCTGCCTAACTACCAGGCCCGTCTTCCTTATTAGCTGGGCCAATCCATGAGGGTCCAGAGACCGATCTCACAAGGGAGTCTGTGACCATATGTTTTAAGTCACAAGTTATCTGAACATCAGCATCTACACATTCATGCAAAATGACCTTTAATATTAGGTGGCAGTCTGTAATTTCATGCCTCTTAGGCAGAAAGCAGAAACATTAACAGGATGGGGGTTTCTGTTGACCTCTGGAGCAGAAAGGTTTGTAAACAGAACTACATACATAGAAAGAAAAGAAGACTAAAGCACTTTCTTTAGAATCAGAGAATGTTAGAACTGAAAGGGACCCTAAGAATTTGCCTGGGCCCATTCACCAGGAGAGCTAGGCAGGTGTGCTCCCCACAGACTGCGGCCATGGCGGGGTCTGCCCATGGGAATGTGGAGAAGGTAAGGGCTGGGGAAGAGAGCAGGCAGTAATCCTGAGAGGATGTGATGGGGGTTTAAAAGATTGCCCAGTCCACAAGCAACAAGCTATACTCTGCTCCAGTATTCACCAACTTAGTGCCTCCCTGAAAAAAAAAAAACAAAAAAACAACAACAACAAAAAAAACAGGCCCCCCCACCAAAGTTGGGTGCAGTGGTTCATGCCTGTAACCCCAGCACTTTGGGAGGCCAAGGTGGGCAGATCACTTGAGGTCAAGAGTCCGAGACCAGTCTGGCCAACATGGTGAAACCCCATCTCTACTAATAATACAAAAATTAGCCAGGCATGGTGGCAGGTACCTGTAAAATTTTTTGGTTTTCCAATGCACACAAAAGTTATATTTATATTATACTGTAGTTTATTAAATGTGCAATACCACTGCCTTAAAAAAATGTAGAACCTTAATTTTAAAAATATTTTATTGCCAAAAACTGCTTACAATCATCTAAGCCTTCAGTGAGTCATCTTTTTGCTGGTGGAGGGTCTTGCTTTGATGTTGCCGGCTGCCGACTGATCAGGGTGGTAGTTCCTGAAGGCTGAGGTGGCTGTGGAAAATTTTTTATGCCCCTCCCCCCAGCTGTGGGAATTTCTTAAAATGAGACAATAAAATTTGCCACATAGATTGACTCTTCCTTTCACGAAAGATTTCTCTTAGCGAAAGGCTGTTTTATAACATTTTACCCACGGCAGAACTTCTTTCAAAATTGGAGTCAATCTTTTCAAACTCTGCTGCTGCTTCATCAACTAAGTTTATGTACTATTCTAAATCCTATGTTGTCATTTTAACAATGTTCCCAGCATCTTCATCAGGAATAGATTCTATCTCAAGAAAACTGTCTTTGCTCATCCATAAGAAGCAACTCTTTATTTGTTCAAGTTTGATCATAAGATTCCTGCAATTCAGTTACATCTTCAGACTCCACTTCTAATGCTAGTTCTCTTGTTATTTTCATCATATTTGCAGTTACTTCCTCCACTGAAGTCTTGAAGGCCTCAAAGTCATCTGTGAGGACTGGACTCTTCTTCCAAACTCCTGTTAATGTGGCTATTTTGACCCCTTTCATGAATCACAAATGTACTTAATGGCTTCTAGAACAGTAAATCTTCCCCAGAAGGTTTTCAGTTTACTTTGCCCAGGTCCATCAGAGGAATCACTATCTCTGGCAGCTATAGCCTTATGAGATGTATTTCTTAAATAATAAGACTTCAAAGTTGAGATTACTCCTTGATCCATGGGCCGCGGAATGGATGTTGTGTTAGCAGGCATGAAAACAACATTCATCTCCTCGTACATCCCCAGCTGAGCTCTTGGGTGACCAAGAACAGTGTCAATCAGCAGTAGTATCTTTAAAGGAATCTTTTTTTCCTTAAAGTTGGTCTCAAAAGTGGGCTTAAAATATTCAGTAAACCATGCTGTAAACAGAGGAACTGCCATCCAGGCTTTGTTGTTCCATTCACAGGGCACGAGCAGGGTAGATTTAGCATAATTCTTAAGGGCTCCAGGATTTTTCAGAATGGCAAATGAGCACTGGCTTCAACTTACAATCACCAGCTGCATTAGTCCCTAACAAGAGAGGCAGCCTGTCCTTTGAAGCTTTGAAGCCAGGCATTGACTTCCCTATGGCTCTGAAAGTCCTAGATGGCATCTTCTTCCAATAGAAGGCTGCTTTGTCTACACTGAAAATCTGTTGTTTTGCATAGCCACCTTCATCGATGACCTCAGCTAGATCTTCTGGATAACTTGCTGCAGTTTCTACATCAGCACTTGCTGCTTCACCACACACTTCCATGTTATGGAAATGGCTTCTTTCCTTAAACCTCAGAAATCAACCTCTGTTAGCTTTTCTGAAGCTTCCTCCACTCTCTCAGCCTTCACAGAATTGAAGAGTTAGGGCCTTGCTCCAGATTAGGCTTTGATTTAAGGGAATTTGTGGCTGGTTTGAGCTTCTATCTAGACCAAACTCTCTCTCTAATAGCAACAAGGCTGTTTTGCTTTCTTTTCAATTGTGTATTCGCAGGAGTGACACTTTTAATTTTCTTCAACTTTTCCTTTACATCCACAACCTGGCTAACTATTCGGTGCAAGAAGCCTACCTTTTGGCAGATCTCGGTTTTTGACATGACTTCTGCACTAGGCTTATTTCCAAGATTTTGGTTTAAAGTGAGAGATGTGTGACTCTCCCTTTCCTTTGAACATGTAGAGGCCATTGTTGAATTATTAATAGGCCTGATTTCAACATTGTTGTGTTTTACAGAATAGAGAGGCCCAAGGAGAGGGGAAGAGATGAAGGAATGGTCAGTCAGTGGGGCAGTCAGAACACACATAACATTTATTAAGTTCGCCATCTTCTGTGGGTGCAGTTTGTGGTGCCCCAAAACAATTACAACAGTAACATCAAAGATCACTGATCACAGGTCACCGTAACAGCTATAATAATAAAAAGGTTTGAAATATGAGAATTACCAAAATGTGACACAGAGACACAAAATGAGCACACGCTGTTGGAAAAATGATGCTGATAGACTTACTTGAAGGAAGGTTGCCACAAACCTTCATTTTGTAAAAAAAAAAAAAATGCAATACCTGCAAACCACAATGAAGCAATGCACAATAAAATGAAGTATGCCTAAACATTTTATTATGGAGAGTCTCAAAATCTGTATTTTGAAAGAAGATGGGCCAGATGTGGTGGCTCACGCCTGTACTCCTAGCGCTTTGGGAGGCCAAGGGGGGTGGATCACCTGAGGACAGGAGTTCGAGACCAGCCTGGCCAACATGGTAAAACCCCGTCTCTACTAAAAATACAAAAATTAGAGGGGTGTGGTGGTGGGCACCTATAATCCCAGCTACTGGGAAGGCTGAGGCAGGAGAATTGCTTGTACCCAGGGGGCGGAGGTTGCAGTGAGCTGAGATTGCGCCACTTTACTCCAGCCGGGGCAAAAGAGCAAAACTCCGTCTCAAAAAAAATGGATAAGTAGGCCGGGTGCAGTGGCTCACACCTGTAATCCCACCACTTTGGGAGGCCGAGGCGGGCGGATCATGAGTTCAGGAGATTGAAACTATCCTGGCTAACATGGTGAAACCCCGTCTCTACTAAAAACAGAAGAAAAAAAAAATTAGCCAGGTGTGGTGGCACACGCCTGTAGTCCTAGCTACTCGGGAGGCTGAGGCAGAAGAATCACTTGAACCTGGTAGGCGGAGGTTGTGGTGAGCCAAGATCACGCTATTGCACTCCAGCCTGCGCAACAAGAGCAAAACTCTGTTTCAAAGAAAAAAAAAAGAATAAGCATCTAATGAAATGATACATAACATGTCTTATGGTAAACATCAGAAGAAACCTGTTCTTTACTTCTTTACCTTCTCTTCAGGAATAGAAAAAAAAGGCCTGGGTTTGCTCGCTGGAAAACTGAGGCCAAGGAAATCAGCAGGCCTCTCTGGTGCCCCCCCCTCCATCTTTTCCAGCTGTGCTGGCATCCACCTGTCCTCCCAACCAACCAACTATCTACTGAATGCCCAGTATGAGAGGAGACAGAGAGGAATGAGATGCAGTCCTGGCCTTCATGAAGCTCTTGGTAGGAGAAGGCAGAGCTCCCAACAGGGACAGACACAGCTCAGCCTCCTTAATGGGAGCAGACTTGATACCACAATCTGATAACTAAGAGACAGGTTTCCATTGGGGGAACCTGGGAGGGCCTTAAAAGAATTTAGACAGGAGGTCATAGCACAGTGATGTGGCGGCGAAAATGGGTACCAGAGGAAGAACCAAGGCAGAGGCCCAGGGAGTCAAAAGCTTAAGGTGTACATGAGGTTGCTCGAGAGGGCTGGGGACTGACAGGTACCTGGTGGGAGATGATGCTGGAGGCAGATGGAAGTGGGTTTCTGGATGGCCTTAAAAGTACTGCATGGCAGCACCCCCAGGAGTGGTAAAGGAGTGATGCCCAGGAACCTCTGGGCAGGGAGGAGCTGGGCAGGACACAGGCTGGCACAGACGTGCAGGAGCCTTGCTGGAAATGATAGACGCTGGCCTGCAGGCCCTTCACCTCTAATTTTCCCAGCTGGGCTTGTCTGGGAATCCATACCACTCCCTAATCATGGGGTAGCAAGCTAGGTAGAGTTGTATGGCTCTCCACTCCCAGGCCCTGCCACTACCTCTCAACCCAGGAAACCTCTATTCTGCCAGTGGTAGGCATGCCATCTGATCTCTCTCACATGGCTTTGCAGCCACCGGGGATCCGTGCCCGAGACGCCAGGGTTGCAGGTAGATTAGGCTCAGGGCCCCAGCGGTGTCAGGAAGGGCTGCATTACTGGAATGATGCACTTGCCACTTAGCGGGGCTGCCCCTCGCCAACCACCTGGAGGGAGGCAAAGCCCTGGGTCCAGGTGAACCGACAGGCATAGCAGCACTGTGTGCTGGGTGAAAACACCGATCCCACTAGAGTGCTTAGTCTGAATCCTGGCTCCAACAGGTGACCTGGGGCAAGTTACCTCAGTTTCTTCATCTCTAGAGGGGAGAAAACGGCACCCACTGGAGGAAGGATGTTACGAGGATTAAATGAATCCATATACGTCAAGTGTTTCGAACAGTGCCTGGTGCACAGAAGGCGTTTTGTGAATATTGCCATTTCAACGACCACTCCTGGGGGCTTCCTTGGAGCCCCATCTCCAAGACTCTTCCTCCTCCAAGGCTGTCTTTGCCCACAGAGCCACAGAAGGCCTGCTGACTGAAGCCTCACAGGCCAAAAATGCACTGGGAACGGGAGGGTCCCAATACCAACCTTTGAGCCTGTTGCCATTTCTGGGTCCACAACTCCCGAGGCCAGTGCCACTTTGATAATCTGACACCCCCACATAGGAGCCATACTCTAGGTCAGCTCTTGTACGTAACGTGAAACACACAGGGAAGGTCTCATGTATGTCTAGTCACCCCATTTTATAGATGGGGAAACTGAGGTCAGGGGAAGGGAAGAAAGTCACAGGGACTAGGCCCCAGGCTCCTTAACTCCTGGACCAGGGCTCTCCTGGCCTTTTCCAGACACTTTCTGACATTTTTTTTTTAAATCAGTCTGTCTTGTTTTTGGTCTTCTGGGGCCAGGGCGTCTATTGCAGTCAGGTCCCTGAGGTGTTAAAAGCACACCTGGCACCACGGAGTGAGCGATGAGCTCTGCGGGAGTGCCAGGCGGTTCTTCCTAATTAGACACGCCGCAAAACCAGCCAAGTTCCAGGTGCCACATCAAAAGGGAGGTGACTTTACCCCCATCTAAACCATTCAAACGTCTGCTGGAGAAGAATCCTCCCCCTAACCAGGGTGCTTCAACGTCTGAATTCAGGGGTCCCTCAGAGGCTGAGGGTGAGTGGCATGGAAGAGCAGGGCTGCAGGACGGCAAGGGCAAGGCAGGGCAGGGCAGCTCAGAGACGGAGCTGGAGCCACCCCAACCGTCACACGGCAGGAGGCCCCACCTCCTCCTCATCTATCTAGTCTAGTTTCCGGAGCTGTCTAGGAGCCAGGAGACTGACTAATTGGAGTTCTTCTGTCATCTCTTTTCCAGGCATGCACAGAAACACCCAACCAACAGAGGGTGGGCTCTGCGGAAGCAGGGCTGTGGGACAACAATGGTCACCTTAGGAGCAGAGCAGGGCCTATGGCTGCCTGGCTGAACCTGTACTGCCTGATCTTTTATGCTCAGCCTGAGGGCAAGGGAAAGGCCCAAGTCTGGAGTCAGGGTGCCTGGGTTTGCTCCCTTCCCTTGGTTGTCTGTACAAGGACAGGGTCTTCTCATGAGCCCCTCTGGCCTGAAGTACTCGAAGAGAGACAAAGCCTGCAAACCTGATGACGACCAATTGCTTTCATTGTGAGTAAAAAGGCCACGTGGACCTTGCCGTGCAGCTCTGCAATGATCCACAGTGTCCATTAGCCCTACCATCACTCTGCATCTTCCAGTGACTGCCTTTGCGTGCGGAGGCCTCTAAGCCGCTGCAGGCCTGCGTTCTGGCGCCATCCCCCGTGGAGACTCACTGAGGCGAGCTTGCTGCTCTGGGGGCCAAAAGCAGGGGGCGAGTGGGCCTCCCTTTAAAGGAGCCATGTCTACTTAGGAGACTGCTTTCTAAATCCTCGCCGACTGCAACATCCAACTTCATAGGCAAGTGGGGTGCCTGTTTTTCTTCCTCGAATACCCACTGAACCCCTACTATGTGCCACATTAGACCTGAGGCCAGATGCTGAGCACTAGATGCATTAGATGAGGGTCCTGCCTCCTAGGGAACTCATGGCTTAGCAGGAGAATCGGGACACCACCGTCTGTAAGCGCTGAGTTGGACAGCAGTGAGCGCCTGCCTGCGCCAGGCACTGTCCTGTGTCCTGGGCACTGGGAGTAAATTACTCCTCATCCTCAAAACAGAGAGGCAAGAGTTATACTGCATTTTATAATTCAGAAACTGAGGTTCAGACAGGAGCAGAGGCTAAGCCAGGACAAGCCTAGTTCTGCCTGGCTCCCAGCGTCCTAGAGTGGTGTATGTACCAGCAGCTTGATGGAGGCAGAAAGGAAATCTAGCCCTAGGATTCAGTAAAACTTCAGGGAGGATGTGGCATTTCACAGAATCTCAAGTCCTGATGCAAGGAGACACCTTGAGGGCCAGGGATGCCAACGGACCCTGCCTGGTGTCACAAACAGCGAGGAGTGGGCCCAGGTGTAGAAGGCTCTCCAGGAGAGGACGATGAGGCCATCAGGACAAAGGGCAACTGGGGCAGGACAAGCATAAACCAAGTTTGGGAGAGAGGAAAGCTGGGGGATGTTGAGGTGAAAATCAGGGTTCTTGCTGCCTTAAGCCTAATGCTCATGAGGTAGAAGGAAACAGGGAATGGCCCCCACAGAAGGTGGGGCCAGCTATGGAGGATCTGGGATGCCAGGACTAGGGGTGCAGCCACTAAAGGCAAGAAACTGGGAAAGGTGGACCAGGAGCCTTCATTGGGTTTGTGCTTCACATACACAAAATCCTTTAAGAAGCTGGCAGGACACATGGGGATGTGGTAACTAGACACTGATAATCTGAAGGTTGGGCCTTCCAAACAACTAGGGCTCCACCCTTTCAAGAAGTGGGCAGAAGATGCCCAGGGCTCCAGAAAGCAAAACACACTCCTGTGAACAGCCCCCAGATGTGGAAATGCTGGCATATCCACTGGGATGATGAGCAGGGGCTGGGCTAGCACGGGTGGCATCAGCATCCTCAGGCCAACCATGACAGGGCGGGCATCCCCGGGGCCCCTGTGCTGCAGAGAGCCAGGGCCCAGCAGGGACTTCACAGGGCTGCAGCACACACAGGCAGATGTGCGTCCCAGCTTGTTCCTTCTGAGTATCGACAGACCACAGCTGCACGAAGGGCCAGCGCCCCACACACGCGATCTTCCAGTCTGCTGGGCACGGTGCGGTCTCTGCCTCCAGAGAGGCCTGGGGCCACACTCTAATGAGGTAAAGCCATAGGGGACAGGCTTTCACGCCAGACCAGTCACGGCTATACCCCTTACCCTGTGGGGGCTTCCCTGCTCACCAAGTGGCTTCACCTGCAGCTCTCACAGAACCTCACAGAGCGAACCTCAGAGGGGCTGTGGTGCAGCCAGGCCCCTCCCCGCCTGACTGCTGCCAAGTCCACAGCTCAGACAAGCTCAGTGGTTGGGCCAACATCGCAAAAACTCAATTGTCAATAGTGCAGTAATCACCATTCTAGGAACACTGCGTGCTGGAGTCTGCTAAGTGCATGCCATCCAGCTTCTCGTTTAACTCTCAAGACAACCCCATGAGGTGGTACCCCACAGACACTGCCATTTTATGGACAGCCACAGGGCAAGCGAGGAAGGGATGGAAGCAGTCTGGCTCCAAAGTCCATGTCCTTAACTGTGCAGCTATCTACAGTGCCTTTCCAGCCCAAGTCAGTGTTCCCTCCACTCCACTAGGGACAAAAGAACACGGACACATTCAGGTCAGCAAGGAAGGCAGGCACTGAAGAGCCCAGTCCCAGCTCCAGCTCTGTCCGGATCCCACAAGGTTGAGTGACACCAGGCAAGTCGCTTCCTCCCTCTGGCTGTCAGTTGGTCATCAGTCAGGGTCACTGGAGTAATCTCAGGCTCCCTGCCCTCTAGCCCTGAGGTTTATCTGACCACATACAAGTCCCTACAGGATTCATCATGGTTGGGGGGCCTGGGAGGAAAGCCTGGGGTGGTATCACGAGGAAGAGAGTGGCCCACCAAGGAGGTATTCAGCACATTCTAGATGCGTCAGAGGGGCGGCCAACACAGGCTGCTGGTGCCGGCCTGGCTGGTGCTTAGTGATTACAAACTGGTAGTGGGGGCAGGGTGCCAGCTGCCTAGAGTAGAGCCAGGGTCCTCTGCTGGGGAGGACCTTCCCCTCTACCTATATACCCTGGGGGCCCTGGTCACCTGGGCTGAGGTACCCCTCACCACATGCCAGCCTTCCCAACCAAAGTAGCCCCACCTGTATACCTGGGGCGTCACAGGGTCACTGCCTCAAGCTGAGGGGTGCTGTTGACAATGTGCCCAGTGCCCAGCACAGCTGCCCCTGCGGAAGCAACTTGCTGAGATCTTGGCACATGCTCTGCCCACCCTTCTTCACTTTGGAACTGCTTCAAGAGAGGCACTAATCCCCCCAGGGACTGAGAGACAACCTTTGCCTTCTGGATAACAATGACGAGGCTGCCAGCCTGGGACCAGCCTGGCTCCCCGCTCACCAGCTGTGTGACCTTGGCCAGCTGCCTGATCCATCAGGGCTAATATTCCTCGCAGATGAGGTGAGAGGGGTTGAACCAGATGATCTCAGAGGCCTTTCTGACTCCAGAGTTTCTCAGTCTGCTTCTACAAAGAGTGGATATTCACACCGGCTTCTTCTTGTAACTTGCTAATGCTGTGGCTCCATCAAGTTAAGGTGGAAGGGGACCTGTCAAGAGCACCCATCCTACTAGCATGTTGGACGCTGACCTGGCATCCTGACCACCTTCCAGCAAATGCCTCCAAAATCCGACCACTACATGCAACAAGAACTCTGCCCACCGACAAGCTTCTCTTCCATACACAAAGCTGTGCTTTCCTGCCTGGGATGGTTCTTTTTATGTGTCAACATGGTTGTCCTATGGGGTGCCCAGATAGTTCGTCAAATATTATTCTGAGTGTTTCTGGATGACATCAACATTTAAATTAGTACACTGAATAGTGCAGATTGCACACCCCTCCTTGTTGGTGGGCCTCATCCAATCAGTTGAAGGCCTGCATAGAACAAAAAGGTGGACCTTCTCCCGAGTCAGAGAGAACTCTACTGCCTGACTGCCTTTGAGCTGGGGCATTAGCCTTTTTCCTGCCTTCAGACTTGAACTACATCATTGACTCTCCTGGTTCCCAGGCCTTTAGTCTTGGACTGGTACTAAACCACTGGCTCTCCTGGGTCTCCAGCTTACTAACTTACCAACAAATTTTGGGACTTGGCAGTTTTCATAATCACATGATCCATTTTTTTTTTTATAAATCTCTCTGCACATGCACATACACACACACACACTCTCTCTCACACACACATTTTATTGGCTCTGTTTCTCTGGAGAACCCTAATACATGCCTCTATGGACAGCCCTTTCCCCACATGTCCAGAACGTGGTCCTTAGACTAGCTGCTTGTCTGTTTCTCTTCTTAGGAAACAAAGGTCCTGCAAAGACTGGATCAATTCAAAGTCAAGTCTATGAGGAATTATCTTTATCACAATACAGAGGGATCCGTCTGCCCCTTCTCCTGACCCCAAAGAACGAGGCATGCAGCCAAATAGCAGTTCCCTAAGAGGACCTGCAATTCTTCCTTCAGGAGACTTGACAGTAGCAAAGCCACCATGAGCCCAAGGATCTTGGTGGGACTTCCTACCTGGCCCAGGAGCGATCACCTGCCAGGGGTCAACCAAAATTTAACAAAAAGGACTAACAGCAAGACTCCCTCCTTCCATATAGCACTTCAAGGTCCACAAAACCCTTTGCATTATTTGGTTCTTGTAACCACCTGATTGCAGACAGAGCCGGCAACTCCATTTAAGTGGGGAAACGGGAAACTCAAAATTGAAGGGCCTTGCCAAAGTCACAGAGTGAGCGGTCGGCACAGTTACTATGTCTCCACTTCCTACCCTGATGGCCTTTCCAACTCTAACGTCACTTCTTGTATTTCTTGGTGTTACAGCACATAAAACCCTATTAAAGTGTTGTTGTTGTTGCTGTTTTCGCTTTTGTTTTAAAGAGGAGTGGGGAAGGAAAAGGTGTGTGTGGGATGCCATGCACAAGAGCCAGGAACCTGAAAGTTGCCACTATTCAAAATTCCTCTCAGGCAGCTCTTTCCTGTCAATAGCTATTATAGATGACACCATCCACACAACCATCCCAAGAATTATGTGGAAGGAAACATCTGGATAATCAACATTTTTGTGCTGGAAGAAACGAGAATAGCCCCTGCTCAGGGCCCTGAAAAGCCGTCCTTAAGAGGTTCCAGACTGTGTGAAAGATGTCATCAACTTCCAGAACACGAGACTGGAGGCACCTTGATTGAGTAGAGATGGCCTCATCTCCCCTGGTGGTCTGTTCCAATGGAGTCCCCTCTAGGTGCCCTGCTGACATGCTGCTGCTCCAGCTTCAAGTCTCAGCCTCTGTTCAGTTTAGAGCACCAGGTACTCTAAACTGTCAAGGGTGTTGGAGGTGGTACAGGGGCTCAGAGATGAATCCAATACTCCCACTGTCATCTCTCCTCCACCCTGGGAGCCTTGAGGCTTCTACCATTTTCTAGCCCTTTGCGTGCTCAGGCTCACCCCACCCCACCTCTGGGGGTCAAGTTCCAGTCGAATCCACTTAACACATCCCCTGTGATTCCCACAGCAGAACCCAGCTCCACAGATGCTCAGCAAATACTGGTGAAATGGAATAACATAAACACACAGCCTTTTGCAAATTCAGAATTTAGCACAGAAAACAAATGTTTAAAAAAAAATTTGTGTATTCTAAAAAGGGAACTGTACTCATAGACTGTTGGAGGAGTATAAACTGGAAATGCCCTTTTCAGAGGTAAATATCCTGTGGCCTAAAGTTCCACTTTTAGAAACCTACTCTACAGAAATATCCAGACCCACAGGCAGAAACAACTGCTCACAAATTTTGCTACAGAATGAAGGGAGCCCAGAATGAAGGGACCAGAAACTAGGAATAACCTACAAGTCTATGAACAGGAAAACAACTGAACACATCACGCTACAGTCACACGGAATCGTTCAATAGAACAAATGACCTCAGACAAGATCTGTGACAAAGAATAATGTTTGGCAGGATAGAATTAATGTAGAAAACTGTGTTTGTAGATACGCACAGATGTGTATTTTTGTAAGCAAATGGGAAAAGGGCTATAAGAATACATAAATTATTAACAATCCTTGTCTCGGGAGGGAGATTTCACTTTTTACCTCCTATAAGCCTGTATGCTGAATCTTCTTACTCAGAGCACATATTACCTAATGTGATAATTAAAATTTTAAAAGGAAGTTGCAAATGTGGCACATGAAGACTCTCCTGTTTGATATTATCAATATCTGTGACAGCACTTGTTGAGGGTCTATGTGGAACGAGGCACAGTGCCAGGAGTTCTACATTAACCCCTAGGACAGATGGGGAAACTGAGGCTGAGACTGAGAGGGCAGATACCTGAGCTGGTATGGCAGGGCTAGAATTTCCCACCTCCGCTTCTCTGATCAGAGTCTGTGCACGCTCTCCTCAGGGCTCCACGCTTTCAGGGACACTGCGTCATGGAATTCCATCAACTTCTACTTAATATTCCAGTGAAATGGGCTTCTGCATTCAAGAGTATTTCTAAACAATTTTCACTTCATGTAATGTTTATACATTTTGAAGTTTAGGAAATTAAGTTTGGAACAAATTATGTATTGGTTTTCAACTCCAAGATGTACATTTTAATTATAACATTCCCCCAAACATGACCCTGGTCATCCACAGAGGTACTCGATTATTAAAGAACCATAGTTATGGTCTCAGCACAGGAAATGATGAAAGATTTCCCTAAAAACACAGCTACAAGGACAGGCCTAATGACTTTTTGGGACCCATGGTTTCACTGCAAAGGGCCCCACTCTCCTGGAAGCTTGATACCCTCTAAGTCACAAGGCAAAGTGATGCCCATCACCCAATTTTGATCAGCAAAGCTCTGAACCAAAAACCAAACTGAGATGGATGATAACCCACAGGCTGTGCTCTGTGAAGGAAGGTGTGCTTGGGAGTGAAGGAGGTCAGACACCCTGTCAGAAGAGGCTACGCCTCACTGAGGGATCTGAAGGGGTTACAGGCAGCACCACGACAGGTTCTTTCCCACAGATTAACATGGGGTCCCAGGCTCCCACACCAGAAACATGCTTCTGGTGACTAGTGGCTAGAGTAGGTAAAGGAGGAGGTCCAGATACAACATATCACTTCACTAGTTCATTCTTCCACTCCTCCCCTCCGGAGCACCTGTGTTGCTGTTTTATGGGAAAACACTGAACAATAAAAACTTGGTCCAGCCGGGCACGGTGGCTCACACCTGTAATCCCAGCACTTTGAGAGGCCGAGGTGGGAGGGTCACCTGAGGTCAGGAGTTCGAGACCAGCCTGGCCAACATGGTGAAACCCCGTCTCTACTAAAAATACAAAAATTAGCCAGGTGTGGTGGTGGTCGCCTGTAGTCCCAGCTACTCAGGAGGCTGAGGCAGGAGAATCACTTCAACCCAGGAGGCGGAGGTTGCAGTGAGCTGAGATCGCGCCATTGCATTCCACCCTGGGCAACAAGAGCGAAATTCCATCTCAAAAAAATAAAAATAAAAAATAAATAAAAACCTGGTCCAGCTTTAGAGAAGCTCATGGCCTAAAAACGTGGTCTTCTTTGGGGCTAGGTAAGTGTGTCACCTGCTCAAGTACCACTAGGCTAAAGAGGCTTACACTTCAGTGGAGGGGCAACAGGGAGCCACTGAAGGATTCTGAGGAAGACTCGGGGTGAGCAGGGGCCTGGGGTCTGCCCCGTACTTTATCCCATGCAGGGGGCTGGGTAAGTCGTGTTCCCCTGGCCTGTTTCCTAACATTTTAGACTGGATTCTCACCGGTGGCCTGCCACCATACAGCATGGTGTAAATGAACTAGACAGCACCAACAAGGATCATCAACCACAGGACCACAGGCAAGTGCTCTCCATGGGGTGCCTGCCACCAGAATCAAATGCTACAGGTATCAGAGATAGAAACAGGGTCTGGTGAGCACCATATACGTATATGCATGCACACACACACAAACACACACACACACACACAGTCTCACACTCTAGGCCCTCTAGGAGCCTGATACCCAAGCTCCTGAGAACATGCCCCCAACAGCAGTCAATAGGTTTCTCTGCAAGGGAGCTCCAAAGCATTTCTTATCAGCTGTGCACATGAGAGTGTCTCAGCCAGGAGTTAGCGGCAGGCGAGGTGAGCGACAGGTGAAGAGATTTTAATAAAATGACAAGCAGCAGCCTATGTTACAAGAAGATTCTTGAGGTTTGCTGAAGGCTCTTCCTCTTCCTTTTTTCCTGGAATGAGATGAGGCTTAACACTTGCCTTTTGGATGAAGTCTTGTGACCAAGTGAATGAGAACTGGCAGGGAGAGTGCGATGGGAACGGATGCCTACTTGAATGTGTGTGCGCGTGTGTGTGTTAAACAAGAAAAAGGAAGTCACAGGAAGAAAAACGAACTGAGCTAAAAATAAGGCTGCTCCAACACTATTGTGAGACAGAAAATATAACCTCAGTTAGGCAGGGAAGCCAATGTGATATGAAACAGAAAATATAAAGTTCCCAGGGAGGGATAGCATTAGGAGATATACCTAATGTAAACGATGGGTTAATGGGTGCAGCACACCAACATGGCACATGTATACATATGTGACAAACCTGCACGTTGTGCACAAGTACCTTAGAACTTAAAGTATAATAATAATAATAAAAAGAAATTACAATGAAGAAATCCTATTCTTTATGTTAACATAAACATTGAGTTTGTGTTAATGTAAGTTAAACATATATTTGTTAATTTATTCTCCCTTAAAAAAAAAAAGAAAATATAAAGTTCCCACCTAAAAATAACTGGGAGTGTAAATGTGGACTTCACCGTTGAGAAATACGGAATTTTTGATATAAGCCTGAGCTTACAGTCTCACTTGGCAGGGAGGAGTTACCTGAACTTTGGAATTTTAAGGTTCTCTTCTAAATAGGAAGCTGACGATACAGAACTGAGATCAACTCCAAGAGCATTCCTGTCTATTGGCTCAAAGACCTACAAAAAACTTAGACTGTGAAGACTTGCCTGAAGCTGAGACCCAGGACGGCAATGGGTGGAACATGGCTAGAGTCAGAAGCCTGGCCCCAGCTGCTGCTGGGAGACCCCAGACAGCACCCCGTCTCCTTTGCAGCTTCCTTGTCTGCAAAATAATGGAACCATAGGCGGCTGATTGACCTCAGTGGTTCATTTACTTACAGAATCACCCTTTTTCATATTATCCCTTTGTTACTTTATAGATGGTTATAGCAACACTGCAATGTGAGAGAGTAGAAAGTGACCATGAGATCTGGAATGGACTCTCAGCTGGCCACTCCAAGCTGTGTGACCCCAGCAAATCCTCCAACTTCTCTCTGCTTCCAGCTCCTCAAAAGTCAAATAAGTCAGTAGATATGAAAGAGTAACCAATGAAGAGCACCGTGCATATAAATATTATTCTCTTCTGTCCCATCCCTCATTCCAACTTGATCAGGTTAGAATAAATGCAAATGTAACTCAAATGACTGATTACTTCCCATTTGATTCCACATACGAAATACACTGGCAATTCCAAATACCAGTAAGTTCATTTTGGAACTGGACTCGGGAGACTTAGGTTCAAACCCTGGCTCTGCCGCCTACCAGCCTATGCCCTCTGGGGAGCGATTTGCCCCAGTAGAGACTTGGCAACCTCTGTTGTGGAGTGGGGAGAATATTAATATCAATTTCATGGCGCTGTTTAAAATAAAACCAAACAAAAGGTATATAAAAGAGACCTGTAACCATAAAACCCCATGCAGATGTTACATATGAGGAATATACATAGAGTGCGCAGACACACAACCTTCCTTCTAGCTGACATCTGGTATAAATGACTCACCAGTCAATCGGTTTATGTCCACATGGGGAAGACTTCTCGTTTTTTTTTCTTTCATAATATCAGTCATGTATGCTGCCCTTCAATAGCATAAACATCTACCTCACCGTGAAATATTTTTTACATTCACCCCTAAAAGGAAGAGCCCTGTACTCTGTGACAAGGCTGAGAAGGCATGATCTGATTCCAGGGCTCAGCAACATGACACACAAACCCTTAATATCTGGAACTGAAACGTTCTTCCTGAGTGTTTCATTAAGTATATCATCTGCTTGCATTTGGCACTCTTCCACTAGCTGGGAACCTACAAAAATTGATGTGGGATGACAGCTGAGTTGGCGCTGCCAGACAAGCTTCCTCACTCGAGAACAGGCTGGGGGAAGGGCAGGCGGGCGGCAGCTGTCACGTTACAGCTGCCACCACACAGACACGCACTTCAGATTTCACTCACGTCCCCTGACGGAGGGAGGCACCAGCCACAGGCCACATGACCGCTGAGGCTCCAGCTCATCCCACTCATCCTTGTCCTGGTGAGACAGAGGCGGACACTTTCCTGGGGAAGTCCCACCCCACCCTCCCAAGGAATCTTTAAACTCCTCTTAGCGCGAGCCCTCCTCTGCTGTGTATACCTGCTGGCCTCTGGGCCTGATATTCCAGCCACCTGCCCACTGCTGATGGGGAGAAGGCCCTGCTTTTCCCAGCTCTGGCCACTGTCAGTCAGTCTGGAAAAATGCTCCTCCACAGGCCAGCCTGGGTCACAGCGTGCTCCAAGCCTGGGGAGCACAGGACCTCAGAGGCCCTACTGAATCTTGCATCACCCCAAAGGTCCTTACACTCTCATTCCTCCTCCACTAGCGGGGAGCCTCCTTCCTAGCTTGCTTTCCTCACCGTCAATGTCATGTATATTAATATCAGAAGGAATATTAGGGGGCAGAGGGAGCAATGAGACCAAGGGTGCTCGACAAACTTATCCAGAAAGCCCCCAACACCTGCAGGGGCCTCATTCCATGCTGGCTGATTCCCATCATTCTCATCTATTCTGCAGAGAAGGTCACTGTTCTGAAGACACTTGACGGCACTCCCTTACGTTTGCCAGAGGGGTTTAAAATCAGTTGCTCTGAGACCCAAATCACCATCTTAGGCAGGTGTCTTTGAACATCCAATTGGCTTACACCCAACAATTCTATACAATAGGTCAAATCATTGTTTCCTGGGGGTTTAATTTGCAACTAATTTCTCTTACAGGGTTCACCAGAAAGCTCCCACTGTTTAAAATGAAATGTACCAGGGTGCTTTGTAGAGATTTTTCTATGTGGTGGATGACCTGAAATGGTGGTTTTGAATAATGTCCAAGCCGAAATGACTGCAGCCATTCTGTGTGCCCGTAGTCAGCCAGGGTCTGCAGGTGGGAGTGGACACAGGGCAGCCTGCTGAGGAAGCCACCAGGCCATCTGTCCACAGGCTGCATGAAGCGACTCCACTTTCAGGAGCATCTGAACCCCTCCCCTTCCCTCACACCCAGGATGAACTTTCCTGTTTCTCGCCTGGATCATAAAGTCTGAGCTTAGCTGGTACTCATGGTTGAAGCCTGCTCAACAGGGAGAAATAGCACATAGCTGGGACAGCCTTGCAGCCTGTCCAGCCCTTGGGTGGAGGGTCCTTAACTCAGGCCTGAGGCCTGTACGTGTGCAGAATTCTGTGATCATGTACATAGGAGCCCAGAGCCTAAATAAAGCAGCAGTTCTTTAAAAAAATTTGGTAATTCAATGAACACTTAGATGAGAGTCTAAAGCCCTTATCTCTATAGTACCAACTGGCTCCTCATCTCCTAATGTTGGACAGACACAGAGTGTCCACTGATGTGCTGGCTCTGGGCCAAGGTTGGAGCCTGCTGGTCCCCACCTCCCCAGCAATGGCCTTTCTTTCAGCTCCTCATTCAACACCCAAAGGCATTCAAGGTTGGGCCTAGATCTCCCCTCCTTCTACTGTAGTCTCTTAATCACCCTGGAGAAGAATTCTGTCCCTTTGGTACCCCAATGTAGCACTAATTATCTGTCTGATTCACATGTCAATTAATCACCCAAGGCCTTAAGACATTGCCAGTGCTGGCTCTAACTGCCCTGTGACTCTCCATATCTACCGGCTTATCCTGGACTAATTTTCTTGCTTGATCCAGGTTTGAGAGCAGAGGCTCTATGTGATCAATCTGTGTGTCTGCCTGGTGTCAGGAGGATTTCAATGAGCTCAATAGTCTGAGTCAGGGAAATGGGAAGCTGACAGGCAGGAGGTGGGTGGGAGCAGGTGAAGGTTCAACAACTCCAGATAGTCCTGTGGGTACAGTCCAAGCCCCTTAGGGGGCTCAGAAAGCCCTTTATGAACTAGTCATCGAACATCTTGGCAGCCACGTCTCCCCTCTGTAAGTTCTTGAAGCTGCAGCCATGCCGGCCACAGGCTGTATCTCCATTTGCAAGCCATCCTTTCCCTCTTCTCTACATGACACCCACCTCTGAGTTAACTTCAGGACCCAACTCAGGTGTCAGCTCAGCACCTACGAAACCACTGGTGGGTCCCCAGAGCCACTAGCTAGTCCTCTCCTCCAGGTCTGAGCTTGGGCTGCTGCCTAGACAGCCCCTTCCCTCCTGGCCTGCTCATCTTTTAAGACTTAGGCCAAGCTCCAATTCCTTGGAAGCCTTTCCTGCCTCCTTTTCCCCTGGAACCTGAGTGATCGAAATACCTCTGTGGAGGTCCCCACAGCGCAAAGTAAAGCCCAAGACATGTCAGACCTGAGTCCACATCCACTGGGGCTTGGATCTCATTTATGTCAATCTCTGGACGCCCAGTGTAGAAGCTGGCACAGGAGGGTACAAAATGACTGCAGAGTGGGCAAAACTCCTAAAGTACTGCTACCCCAAGTTATCTCATCTTTGTGGTTGGCCTTCTGGGCTGTCCAGCTCCACCACCTCAGGACTGGAACCCTGTACCTCTCACATCACAGAGACACGGAGGCCGAGGCACTCTGCTCCATCACCCCAGGGCAGATGGCCAGCTTATCAAACAACAGCTGTCCAGGGCGACAGCAGCTTCTCACTGTGTGACAAGGGCAAGTGGCAGAAAGGACAACAAGGCCCTGGGGGCCTGAGGCCCAGGAGGAGACCCTGCTAAGGGGCAGAGGGCCCTGGGATGGGATGGGGATGAACAAGAGTGATGCTTCTTCCTGGCTTGTGGTACCCACTGTGTCCAACCGAGCAAGCAGAGGCAGTGGCAGGACAGCCCGTGTGACAGGCACTTGCTGCATTCTGCTGTGGTGGAGCTGCTTTCTCTTGTAAAGTGCCGCCGTGCCCAACTGCCTGCTTGTAAAGGGGAGCGCGACGGGGATTTACAGCATTCCTGTTGCTCTGAGCTCTGAGTTACGATTCCAAGGCACCAGTGGCCGGGAGCAGGCAGCTTGGAGGGAGGAGGGAGGAGGGAGGGAAGCACTAGGGCCAGGGCCCCAACACAGTACTGAGCTGGACCGCTATCCTGCTGGCCTGGGCTTCCTGACCACCAAGGACTCCATAAACGGTAAACTTCCCAGAACTGCAGGCGCCCCAGAGACTCACAACCTCCCCCACCACCCTCAGGGCCAGATACATGGTCTCTGCATCGCCTGTTTTCAAATCCAGGAAAGCACATGTTCTGATGGTCTCAAAATCCTATTTTGTTTATTTATTTAAAGACAGGGTCTGGCTCTGTCACCTAGGCTGGAGTGCCGTGGCACGGTCTCAGTTCACTGCAACCTCCACCTCCTGGGCTCAAGCAATCCTCCTGCCTCAGCCTCCCGAATAGCTGAGACTACAGGCACACGCCACCACGCCCAGCTAATTTTTGAATTTTTAGTAGAGACGGGGTTTCACCATGTTGCCTAGGTTAGCCTCAAACTCTTGAGCTCAAGCTATGCACCCTCCTCGGCCTCCCAAAGTGCTAGGATTACAGGTGTGAGCTGCCCTGCCTGTCCTCGAAATCCTATTTTGAATGCTTATTTTTCAGGGACAAACAGGAAATCCAAATGATTAATATGTTTGCAGCCATTAAACTGACTTCAAAGGCAAGGATGAGATGGAAGCAGAGGAAAGGCCCATTTTTCATCCAGTTTCAACCAGCTCTTCCCAAGAGCCAAGCTCTGTGCTAGGCTCTGGGGAACCCACTGTGAGTCACTCAGGCCCTGCCCAGGCTGCTGGAGGAACTCAAGAGCAAGGCAGAACAAGAGGGAGGAAGTCCCTGCGGGATCACAGAGCCCTGGGGAGCCCCTCAGTGAGGAGGACAGTGAGCGTTTACACAGGAAAGCAAGTGGGTGATGGGGTGCTGCTGGACCCTGGGAACCCTATAGGGTGTGGGATTTGAGGAAGGCCTGGAAAGTCTGGGCTCAGATCTGAGGAACCCAGTGGAGATCTCTGAGCAGGAAAGTAACATGATCTAGCCAGGCCTGGGAAACTCATCAGGGGACAGTGAGGAGGGATCTGTGAAAGGCTGAGACTAGCAGGCGAGCTGATCTCACTCTGTTCTCAAACCTCCTAGCTTCTCTCCTCCCTGAGGTCTCTCTCCTGCAAGGGGTGAAGGAAGCCTGCTGCAGACTCGGGGTGACCAGGAGCTCAAATGGCTGCTCCACTTTATTCAGCTGATGCACATGCAAAATGACAGCTGTTTCAAATACACTAAAAAAAATTATTTAAAGGTATATATGCTACAATTAGGCCCAATTCGAAAGTAGGCTTCTGTGGAAAGATATCCCCTAGGGAGGCTAGTGTGACTTGAGCTCACAAACAGGTTTCTGGAGTGCTGAGTGGAAGCTGCAGACACCAAGCGCCGCATACTGAGTGGAGGTCTGACAGAGACTGGGGACAAACAAAGGCAGCCGAGGCAGCAGCCCAACCACCAGCAGCACGTGGGAGGCTTCTGTGTTCTGGGAGATTGTGTCCCTGTGTGCATCCAGCGTGTCTTTGTGTGACTGCCACCACTACCAGGACAGGTTAGCACTAAAGTCACCTTAGGATCTGGCTGAAGCCTTGACTTCAGAGATGGAGAAACTGAGGCATGCCTTGTCCAAGCTCAAACCGGCTGTCGGAGGAGCTGCAATTCACTCCTGCAGCCTCCAGCTCATGACTCTCTCCACTAGTCACCCCATGCCCTCTACCCCCAGCCCTGTTCTATTTGGCCATTCAGAGATTTACAAGATTCCAGTATGAATCACAGCTTTGTGAAGGCTGACAAGAAGAGCCACGAGGCTGGGGCACCACACCTGAGTGGGTGGTTTCCATTCCTTTCCACAGGCCCAGGGCTGGGTCCTCAGGACTTGCACAGGTAGCTTCAAGGAGACAACAGAACGGATGTCCATCCCTCCCACAGGCAGTGGAGAGAGAAAAGAGAGGGAGCGAGAAGTCAGCGAGAATTGCTGCTGCTGGCAGACCAGGCCAGGCCAGACCACAGCTTGAACAACTGAAGGAGACCCCAGGCCTAAGCTCTTTGCTAAAGCAGGGACTCTCTAACCATGGGACCATCTGTCCCAGAGCCATGGAGCCATGTATTACAGTGCAAGTTCTCGGGCTTCAGTGAGGGCCTCTACAGGATGGGGCCTAGGAATCCGCATTTTCACCACTGCCCACGACCTTGCCCTTGTTTCCCCATGTTGACCATGGTACCAACTGACCCTGGAAGGCCCTGCACTCATGGATCTTCAGGGCAGCCTGCCCTTCACCTTGACCCAATGTGGTGAGCAGAGCCAGGGGGCGGGGGCATTCTCCTGAGCCTCCCATCCTCTGCACTGTGTGCTGATTCCCAGGTGGCGCTGTTCCGAGGCCGGGTGGGCTGATTCTGTCTGCAACGCTGGGCTAACCTGTACAGTCCATTGGGAAATGCAGTGTGATTTGGCCTCCAAAGTCTTTGGGGGCTGCTCCTCAATTCAGTCCTATAAAGTGCATGGCATTTGGCCCTCGGAAGCCCCTCAAGGCTGAGAGGCTTTACTTGCCACATAGGAGCCCCAGAGCCAGTTGGGGTTGAGGGATCTCACAAAATGAACCAAAATACTGCCCTGCAGGTGCCAAAGCCTGGCTTTTAGTCAGGGTGCTGGCAGAGTGCTTTAGTCCTGGTTTCCTATGTGACTTCGGGAAAGTCCCTTAGCCTCTCTGAGACCTCATCTCACCATCTATACAATGGAGATAGCACCACGTGTCCTGCCTGTCTCGCCAGGGTGGTGTGAGAATCCAATCAGCAGGGATGTGCTTGGTATGTAAACGCATGGGGCACTGTTACATGGCTTTTTGCTCTTCCTTTTTTCTTTATTTTAAGCATCAGGGAAAAGTTAATTCTTTTTTTCGGTTTCAGAGACCAAGTCAACTCAGAGGTAAATGGACATTCTTTTTCAGCAGCAGGCAAGAAAGCACTTGCATGGCTGATACCTGGCTTGCCCCTTTCTCCTCTGAAAGGCAGGGGTCCTTAGGTAGGCAACTCTGAATGGCTCTTTGGTAATCCTGAAATCTCAAGTGAGCCTGTGTGTTTACATCAGTACTTACAAAGGGAGACGGAACCACCCTTGTCAGGAGAGGAGATAATCGTCAAGCACACCTTCCTGGCAAAGGCACCATCGTGTAATTAAGGACGATAATTACAGCTCCATGGCTAGTGTCAAACCCAGGGCTCTGTCCAGACACAATTATGCCTTTCCTCACCCTGAATGGGAAGACATGCAAGGCTCTTTGTGGGCTGGGGAGAGCCTGGCCAGTTCTGTCCTTCAGACAAGGATGGCTTCTCCAGGCCAAGCCCTTTGGACGCTTTGACCTGGAAGCCATGTCCAGGCGGGTTGGGTTCGATACTCTCCAAGTTAGGTCTTCTGCGGTCCTGCCTCGCTGCATGGTGAGACCAGGTGCCAGGGACACTGAGGCACAAGCAGCCTCTTAGAGTGGGAGGAGACTGGCTGGCCACAGAGGGTTAGGGTTAGTTCCCTTGGAGGCCACATCCTTGCTGGCAGAAAGGTTCTCTCCCAGCGTCTACCATGGAGTTAGAACAATGACTTGAGCGCTTGGCAGTTCACCCACACTTACCCGCTGAGACCTCTGTAGATAACAGCCCAAAGGAGATGAACAGGAGAGAAGAGAAAAGGCCATCTGCATCCTCCCCATGAGCTCCAGAGAGCACGAGTGGTGGTGAGTGACTTTCATCCACCCTGATCCCACCTCACAGGACCTGGCTCTGAGCACAGACTCTTTTTAATGGAAGGGAGGGGAAGGGGACAGGGACTGATGTGATATAGCAAAGAGACCCTAGCTCAAGCCCTGGCACTACAGCTGGCTGACCCTGGGTGGGTCACTTCGATTCTCTGGTTTTCCAGTTTGTCTATCTTAAAAAAAGGATAGCAAGGACTGCCTCCAGGGTTGTTCTGAGGATGAAATGAGATGTGAGTAGTCAGCAAAAGGAGAAATAAATATAAATGGTGATAGCAATAACCCCACACATATAACTGAAGGCCACAGTCTTGGAAGAAATTAGAGAAATGCCAACAATCTGACAATATTAATTAGAAATTTCTACAAAGCCATACGTGTCCTGAAACAAAGAAGTTTTCCTCCTAAATGCTTAAACAGAGAGGTGGAAAAGCCATCACTCCCTGCAGAGGACCTAGAGGACAGGAACCCTGACCGACCTGGACAGGGTTCCTACAGGGGAAGGCAGGGCAGGAGGCCTTGCTTTGAAAGAGCACTACCGAACCACGTGAAACACATAAGAAGGCATCCTAGTGACTGGAAGGGGCCCTGGGCTAGGACTTCAGCTCAGGCCACCATTCAGGGGACAGTTGTGAGAACCCTCCTCCCACACCCTCCTCACCCTAGCCCCACCACCATCTGTCTAGTCCCCCAACCTAGCTTGGCTCTAAAATTCTCTCTCTGTGAAAGAAGATTTCCAGAGAGGGGAAAGGTTCTAATGCCCAAGTTCAAGCTTTTCCAACAGCATCACATACAGTTCAGTTAAAAAGTGAGCTAAAACCAGACTGTGAATTTTAACTGCAGTACTAGATCCTGCAGACTCCAGGACCCTGCATCAAGTTCCCTGGGGTGGAGACCGTGAGTTTTAAGATCCACCCTGTCTCACCCCAAGAAATCACACATTTCTGCAAATTTGGGAGCCAGACCCAGGGCATAGGGCTGGGGCCCAAAAGGCAGCCAGAAACTTTTTATTAGTACGGAGCCTTGGGAATTTACAACAAATCTTGGTCCAGATGAAAATTAGTTTCAAGTCTAGGGGTAAACAGGCTGGGCTATTAATAAGGACCAAGCCCTTCCTCCTAATTTCTGGGTGTAAATTAGACAATAATTAAAAATATTGTCTAGTTTCCTCTGAGGATCAGCTGGAGGACAGCTCACTTTGCATGGCAGCCTGGGCTGTGCTGGGGATGAGAGTGAGAAGGGGGCAGGGATGGGCGAGCCAAAGGCATAGGGACCTGCCCCAGGTGGGTGCTTTTCACAATTCTGAGTCCCCTTCAGCTAAACACAGGACCTCCTTGGGTTCTGTCCTAGGCTGAGGCCTCTACTTCCTTCCAACTCCACCCTTGAACCCTGGGGCTAGGCCATGCCCCTCGCTGCAACCGCTTCCACCACCCTTCCCACCCAGTCCTAACCAACATCCACCCCTAACCAAGCAGAATGGGCCACATCCTCCCCGCGGCTCCCCGTCCCACGAGGGCAGGGTTCTACACCCACACATGACAGCAGTCATAAGCCACATCCCAGTGGACAGCCCTCCTGAGGGGAGGGCCAAGGTGGGCTCCACCTCCCAGCCCCTGTGCTCGTTGCAGTGCCCAGAACAGCAGGGCTTCCATGGATTCTCCACGAAGACCCTCCAGAGCTTCACCCTGAAGGGGAGGACAGGAGCATGGGGCCGGGCTGCCCCTCCTCTATCTTACATAGCTCTGACACTGTCCCAACTGTACTATGTCCCTCAGTGCCCACTGGAGCAGGCCACTCAGTGGCTCAGCACTAACCCTTCCCCCAGTAAAGACTCACTCAGCAGAAACAGTTCTCCGTAAGGTAAAGGACACAGCACAGAAATGGAAGCAAATCCTAGAAGAGGTCAAGGAAGGGAGGATGCTGTCGCCCACCGGCTGGTTCCCAATTGTGTGGGGTGGTGAGGCTGTTGCTGGGGGCCTCCTGGCTCCAGGCCTCTGCTTCTGTTACTGGGGAGGGCAGGAGCTGGCCCGGGGGATCTATCTCAGGCCCATGTGCTTCCCTCAGCCCAGGGTCCATCCGGCCCATTGACTGCCTGCCCTGCTCCTGCCTGGGCTTTGGAACACAACTCCCAGGTTCCTGGAGGTGCTCCCAGGCCCCCAGCTGTTGCGGAAGCCTCTGCTCCAGGTTTCTTACTGGAAAATGGAAACAACCCAGGCGCTCCCTCCCTGGGCCTTAGGGAGGCTTAGGAGAGATGCTGTGAAGGGCATGAGAGCACAGGGCTTCAGTAAACACCACCTGAGCAGAAAACTGAATGCCAGCTGGCCTGGTTCTGCCTTGAGCCACAGGCACCTGGGGAAAGCAGCAGATCGGGAGCCTGAAGCATGCAGAGGCTTCTGGGGAAGGTGAACCTGAGCTGCTGGGGGCTGCGTGGGACTCGGAAGGGAAGGGCCGCGGTGGAGCTGAGTGAATAAAGATCTGCTGAGGAGGTGGGCGCCCCCCAGCCCACCCTCCCAGGGCTGTGCTGGCAAAGGTGGGGGGACCAGGCCAGAGGTGTTCTGAACTGGGCAGCAAGAGGCTAGAGCTGAAGGCAGGCATGATGAAGGCCATTCACTTCAGGAAGTTGAGGACTCCAGAACCCAGCCTGAGGGGCAGAGGGTGGGGAAGGGGGACCCAGGGGCCAAGAGAGGCCCACTAGGGCAGCATGAAGACTTGGAAGGCCCCCGACCTGGTGAGGAGTTGCCAGAGAGGGTAGCTTCACGGAGGGCTGTGTGGCTGGGGGCACGGGCACATGAGTGCATGTGCCAGCGTCCACGCAGAGACTCGAGGCTTAGCAGATGGGAAGGAACACGGCCACAGGCCAGCAAGTGAGAGATCAGCTGAGGTGCCAGGGACAGGATACACACTGCCCCATTGGCCAGGGCAGAGGTGAGCCGGCCCAGCAGGCATGAGACCCAGTTCTGGGAGCTGAGAGATTTGTGGGGGATGTTTACTCACCATGTGCACACATCATTCCACCAAAACCAGCAAGTTCTGGATGAGGGGACATTCTTCACCAGAAAGTTCCAGGCCAAAACCTCAAACACAGGGCACCGACAGTCTGAGCACAAGACACCCTGGCCCCGGCCTGTCCTGTCATCCTGCCCTCCAGGGGTTCCCAGTCTAGCAGATACATCACAGTGGACATGGTGAGGGCTGTGACGGCATATGGACAGAATGGGGTGACGTGGGCAGTAGGAAAAGAGAGGCCCAAAAGTTGAGGCTTGGGCTTGGGAGACGGCCCCTCTTTCGGTGCTTTAAGGTGGCCAGGTACAATTACACGCCTATACCCTGAAAGGGAGAGTGAAGAGGTGGCATTTTATTTCCTTCTGCTCAGCTGCCTGTTTTGGAAAAGGACCACAGCCAGCCCTCACTAACCACAGGAACGCAAACGGGCCAAGCTGGCTGAAAGGGAGAAGGCAGGACTCTCCAGGAGATGGGGAAGAGCACTGAACCTGAGGCACCGGCTACATTGCCGCCACCAAGGGAGGACTCAGACCTGCTGTTACTCAGCATCCCTCCCTTGCATCACCAGGCAGTGATCCCTGTAGGGAGAAGGGGCCAGAAGTCCTGTCAGCCACCAGGACTCAGCTTTCTCATCTGCAAAATGGAAATCATCTCATCTGCTTCCTCTCGGAGCCTTAGGGAGAGTCCTGGTATCATATATAAAAGGTACCCTTTAAACACAGACTGCTGTCATCTCTGTAAGTTTCCAGAAAGCCAGCCTGAGCCCTACTTAGAGGAGAGTACTAATTAATTAGTCAAATAATAGGGTGTGGGGCAAATCACGGAATCTCCTCCTTCAGGCTTCTGAAAGGCAGGAACTGTGGCCGGCTGTCTCCTTGGCCACTCCCTGCATACTACTCCTCTCCCCAGACCAGAAACACAGGCCAGGACTTCTCATGGTGGCCCCCAGGTCCCTGGAATAGTTTGGGGCCCTCCTCTGATCTGACTCCAGCACCTTCCCTAACACATGAATGCATTCAATCTCTCCCAAGCACCTAGCTGGCTGCTCCCACCTCAAAGGTGACCACATCTCAACTCTGACTCCTCCCCAGGAACCTCCCTTCCCTACTCAGATAGGACAGGCCCCATCAGGTGACTGACTTTCCCATCCTCCCACTAACAGAGGACCCCACTGGTGGTGTCATCCCACCCTCTCCTCTCCCTTCCACACAGCACCCACTGGCTGGTGGGCCCTTCCACCACACCTACCCTGACTCCACAGCACCTGACCTGGCCTAGATGATTGCTATAGCCTCGGAACCATAGAACCTGTCTCCCTGCCTCTTGCTAGGCGCTGCAAGATTCCATCCCACACTCCCAGGCGGGCCTGTTTTCCTAAATGACTTCCTAATCGTGCCACACCCCTGCAGTGTGGGTTTCCGCAAGGTTTCCACACCCTGCCCAGCACGCAGGGAGCTGGGCGGGTACAGGATGCAGGAGCTTTGCTGCAGATTAATCTGAGTCTCCCTGAGCCTATTTCAGGACAGGTATCTCCATCAGTTTCTGCACTTTCAGATCTTTTAATGTCTCTCTGGGATTCTGAAATGCAAGGCTGAGGCAGGCCTGGGGAGGTGAACTCCTCCATTTCACATTCCTATTCCTGTATTTCTACCTTGGGTAAAATGCACGTTTCTCTCACAGCTGCCAGGAAAGACAAGGAGTTAGGGATGTGTTCCGAGGGGCCTGAGCCCTCGCTGACAAACGCTCAGCAGGACTGCAATCTGTTTGTTGGGCCCTCACATCTATGAGGCTTAGTGCCAGCAGCACGGGGAAAACCAATGGCAACCCTCAGGGCCCGTGCTCCTCTACTGGGGCCAAGGACAGAGGAACACACCTGCCAGCCACTGGGCCACAGCTGTCCCCCTTATCCCCAGAAGACAGCACTGAGACCATCCTTCCTACTGAAGGTGGCCCTGGCCCTGGGGACAAGTCTCCACTCAGCTCCTGACTTTGAGAAAGCCCCTGAATTCCAGCCCTTGATAACCCGGAGCCACAGCATCTAGTAAATGAGTTTCGGGGAATCATGGGTAGGCTACTGCCACCTTGGTCCCTCACTCAACTGTTAACTCCATGAGAACAACTTTGTTTTGTTCATGCATAGACCCGGGAGCATAGAACGGTGCCAGCACATGGCAGGTGCTCACAAATAGCCACCCAGTCAATGAATGAATGCACTGCATTTTTCCCCTGACCCAGGCCCTGTGACTTCAAGCAAGCAAGTCACAGCAGAATGGGAGAGGCTGCTTATAGTGAGTATTTGTTTGTTTCCTTTTCTTTCTTCTCCATACAGACTTGCATTCCTATACTCATTCATGCAATCGGTGAATATTTACTGGGCCCAGAAGAGAAATGAAGATGGGTGAGGACCAGTCCCTTCCTTCACGGAGCTCTCGGCCCAGAGAGGGAAGGAAAAGAGGCAGAATCAGCTATCCCTATGCAGTCCGCCGGCTGCGGAGACAGAACTGGTCAGAACGCCCACCCAACTCCCACCCTGACGCCAAGGCAGCCTCCCTGCCCACCTAGCAAGTGGCTAAACTCAGACTTTCCAGATCTGGCATTCTTTGGAGGAGGATAGGAGGTCCCTGGGCTCCTGAGGGGCACCCAGGACTCTGTGGACCAGCCCAGGTCCCAGGAGTGAATTAATGCACTCATTCATTCAACCAGTGTTTACTGACAACCTACTTTGTACCAGGTACTTCAGGTTCTAACAGGGAACAAAACCTATATCTCTGCCCTTGTGAAGGCCACATCTCAGCAGTGAGACAGACAACAAACAAGGGAAATGTAAAAAAAGTATGTAATATGCTAAATAATGACAAGTGTTAAGGAACAACATCAGAGAGGTGGGGGAGGGGTGGAAATGTAAGATAAGTGGCCAGAAGGCCTCCCTGAGGAGGTCATTTTGAGTCAGGACCTCAAGCTTGGCTTTGCTGGGATGCTGCCCTCTTTGTGCAGCACACTTTGGTCCCAGAGGCTGTACCACTCCTTCTTCTGTGTTCTCCAAGACCAGATTTCTCTCTCCAGTGTAATTTTTCTTAGTTTGTTTTATACTACAGACATCAAGTGTTCTCTGGGCCCCTGTCCACCTTCCCCATGTGACAGGAGCACCTGGAGGGCAAGGACCCTCAGCCCACAGCGGGGGTGCTATCAATGACTGTCTGCTCTCCTTGGCCTATTCCAGGCCTGCTGCAACTTTCCTGAAAACCTGAACGTGCTCAGTGTCAGGGGTCAAAGACAAGAGGGGAGCCGGGGTGAGAGAATAGGAAGTGGCTCCTAGAGTGGGCCCGCTGGTCGCCATGGAAACCCAGGCTTCCCACTTCTCTCCCCGCCCACAGCTCTGCGGGTGAGCACCACTGGGCTGGGTGTGTGAGCCCTGCTGTTTCTTAAGAATAGGAAAGTCATCAGGTGACTAATATGAAATCTATTTACACTTGATGATCTCCTTCCTGTCCGGTAGGTAAGTCATTCTGGCAAATGACAGACCAGCCAGGGAACTCTGCACAGTCTACGACCAAGCCTGCTACCTGCCAGGCAGGAGGATTGACAACAGATTTCACAACATTTCAAAATAAGGCCCAGGAGCTCCAGGATGGAAGTCAGGAGACTTGCCCTGTGGCTTGCTGCTGTGTAAACTTGGCTAGTGCACAACCCTCTCTGGGCCTCGGGCAGGAAGCCTATATGGGGCCAGAAGCACTGCTCCTCAAGGACAGTTCCATCCTGCCATGATCCAGCTGGGGGAGAGCTGTGACCACCAGGACAGGCTGAAGCCTGTGGTGTCTTGGTGGGGAGGGCAGGCCAGGGAGGAGCTTGAGGCCTGGAGAGGGTGAGAGGCAGCAGGACAGAAGGAAGTGAGGGGGCTCAGGGTACAGGCTTTGGGGAGCAGAGCTGTGCAGGGAGGCAAGTGTGTGGACATCCTGGGAGCAGAGTCCACGGCACTACAGAGCTGGGGCTGGGAATGGCCTGGACTCAGGACCCAGACAGAAGGCCCTTTGCTTTCCCAGCTCAGGGGAACAGTGCTGCCTGGAACCAGGGGTCAGGGCTGACGGCAAATATGAGAGGAAGGCTGAAGTCTCAGGCAGGGTGGCCAGAGGCAGCTTCTCTGACACCCAAGCAAGACTCACAGGCTCCTTTTTCTGAGAAGCATTTGCCGGTCTCCGGGAGAGTTCATTCCAGAATGAGAGAACAGGAGCCCTAGGAAGGGCCTCTAGAGCTGGCTGTCCAGAATGGTGTCCTGTCTGTCCTGAGAGCAGAGACAGCAGCATGCATGCTTTTGGGAGGGGCTGAGGCTGATGCCACATGGAGGTGGCTGGGGGTGGGGCAGGACCCTCAGGACTGTTAGAACCAGGCCTGACAAGGGCAGCTGGAGAAGCCCAGTGTGACCGCAGAGGCGGGTAACCAAAGGATTTATGAAGTCACTCCAGACCCATGACCTCTAAGAATCCTCTTGACACCCAGTGAAGGAGGCAGAATCTGATTTTAGAGATGAGGGAACTGAAGCCCAGAGAAGAGAAGCAACCTGCCCAAGGGCAGAGCCAGGGGCAGAGCCAAGGCTAGAACCTGTACTTCCTGCCTCCTTTCTCCTGAAACACAGAGGCCACAATTGGAACATCGTCTTTAACATGATAAACCCCATGATTCTCCCAGAGAGCATGTTGCCACTAGAAGAGGCCACACCAGAGGATGAGAAAATACAAAAAAAATCCCCTCTTGCCTTTAAAATCAGTGACTGGCTTCATCTGGACGGTGCCTACTAGCACACAGTTAAAAAGGGCAGAAGGCCAGTTGTAAGCAAGGAAAACAGCCACGTCAAAGCAGGGGGGCTCTGTGTGAAATGACTTTAATTTCCTCTTATTAGGCTATAAAGTTGATTTAATAATAAAAACATGCTAAGGACTTTTTAATGTGTAATTGCTTACATATTAAAAATTATGTGAAAATGCTTTCAATTAATGCTTAAAGATTCATCCTGTGAGATGACACTTTGAACAGTTTTATAAAGGATGCCAGAGGAAGGGTTAGTAACATCTAAAAAGGCGGCCTAAGTAACTAAATTTTCCAATTATTCCTCAGACTCTGGGGAACACAGGACAGATGAGAGAGTGTTTTAGTTGTAAGCGAGGGCTCCAGAAGGTGCATCTTGGTTCTGTTTCTGCTGCTTATTTAATCTGAGGCTCAGTATTCTCCTCTGTAAAATGGGGATGATGAACATCCCTATACCTCATAGGCGAGGATTAAGTGAGCTAATCTCTGGAAAGTACTTGGAGCAGTGCCTGGCACACAGGGAAGCCCTTTGCAAAAGCTAATGACTGTCATCCATGCCACCATAACTCCTTGGTTACCTCTGAGAATTCCTAGGGCTGAAGGCCAGTGAAGAGACGATCTCAGGCACAAAAACACGCTGTGCCTTTAGGTTAACTTGGGCTTCCAGATCCCAGTCAGTCTCTACATGCTCTTGCCCCATGAGATTTTCCTATCATTATCCCATCAAAAGCCTCATCTCCAGCCACTCCTCTCTAGCAACAAGGGCCCACCTCTATGCTTTTCTCAAGCTTTTCCCTCGGCCTGGGATGCCTGACTCAGTTCTCATCACCGCCACCTCCCACAACCCACTCTACTTGGATCACCCAAATTGGAAGCCCTTGTTCCCTCCTCTGAACTCCTGGAGAGCCACATGCTCATCTCAGTGCACCCACCACTGACCACTCCAGGTCCATGCCTATCTGCTCTGTGGATGTTCCTGGAGGGCAGTGGCGGTATCTGCCCAGGTTATTTGGTGTAGTCTCCAACACAGCCCGGCCTGGAGCCCCTGCAATGACCGAGCGCACTGCAGAGGGCCCAGGGACCACCTGCTCCAGCACTGGCAAGGGTGCAACCTACTTCCAGGTGGGTAGGTGATCCTACAGGGAATAACTAGAGAATTCAACAGCACAGCATTCCACAGGAAGGACAAACAGGCCCTCTGTCCTCTAATAACAACAATCTTATGCACATGTGCAAAGTTTGTTTTCCACATGGGCATCAGGATCACAGGCCCTATTTTACCATGACACCACGGCTCTCAGTGGGCTAGGCACCCTGACCTATCCAGGCACCCAAGTCAGCCTGATCAGTGTCCAGCGCCCTTCCTGCTGCATCAGCAGGATTTCATGCATCCGGGGACCTTAAGCCTGGGATCAAGACCTGGGGAAGAGGGAAAGAAGGGGCTGTGAAGCTAGCTGCCTGATCACTGCCTCAACAGGAGGCTTGGCCTGGGGATTCCAAATACAGAGATGATGGGGCATGAAGGGAACCCAGAAACGCTCTGGTACTTTCTCTTTAAATTGTACACAAGGAAACTGAGGCCCAGATGGGCAGCAGGGCATAGAAAAGGCCAAGACCAGAATTTGATCTTGAGAGACGAGTCAAGGAAGATGAAAAGGGGAAATAGGACTGAACAATTAGCCAGGCCAGCACTGAGAAAGGAAGCTGCCAGCCCTACCCAGATCCCTCCTATTCAGTTGGTCTCAGGTGCTGTCTTTGTGGGGCTGGTCCTGGGTGACTAGTGAGTCACTCTGCTTAAAACGCAGATCACAGTGAAACATGGCATCCTGGGAGCTCAGGGTTAATGCAGACCTCAGAAGTCGCTTGAGCCAGCCACCCATCTGAGACTCAACTCCCTTTCATGTCACTGCCCAATGCTGGCTGTCTTGCCTCTGCTCTGATACCTCTGGGGATAGGCAGTTCACTGGTTTACAAGACAGCTTCACATTTAATCAGTGGGTTTTAAAAAAAATCTCAAAAGGATTATAACTTCTTTGAGCCTCAGTTTCCCTATCTATAAAAAAGAAAGCTTGGACCAGGTCACTAGTTCTCCAACTAGGTTCCATAGAGCTGTAGGGTTTAAGGAGACACCCCCAGAGATGCTGCTGGGGTGAGAGAGGCGATGGGGATGGCAAGTGAGGCCCAGACAATTGGGCTCGGAGGTTTGTGAAGGGCTGAGCATCCATCTTGGAAGCAGAACATACCTCCTGCCGGTGACACAAACTGGAGCCTGTGGAGAGGATAAGCTGAGGCATTTAGAGGGCAGGGGTGAGAGGAGCCCCTGGGAGAAACAGGCACACTTCCTCACGCCTTCCATCCTAGCTGTAGTCCACAGGGCTGGGCCAATCTCCCCACCACCTGCTGCATGGAGCCAAGGGACACAGAGGACAAAGCCTCGTCAGTGAATCACTGCCCAAGACGGCTATGCTGGGGAATCTGAAAACCAAACTACAGTGCACCAAGGCTGGAGAGGCCCTGGAAAGAATGCTCCACATGATGGTTCAAACAGGCTAGGAAGTCAGCCCCACAACTGACTTACCAGCTGGGACGTCTTGGGCTAGTTTTTTAACCTCTCTGTGCCTTGGTTTCTCCATTAGTCAAGTGGGCAGCCTATACTCCAAAGGGTAATGGTGAGGACCCAGTTAAGAACTGACATCAAGTGCTGTAAGCAAGTACTAGAGAGCTTACCAGCTGCCTCCCCGTTGTTGTTATCACCGGCCCCTCATTCCATATGTAAGTAAATATGGGGGCATACAACGTGCTGCCCATCGTCGCACAGCCAGTTAGCAGCCCAAAGCGGCTAGAAGCACTAATGACTGCCTGCTCTGAGGCTACTGCTTTGCAGGGGAAAACCGAGGTCCCTGGGTCATTCAGGTGGCAAGTGACCATCCCATATCTGCTTGACTCCAGCCCACGCTCCTCCTGTACAGGTACGCCACCTGCGGCACACGGAGGGCACAGCCTTCTTGTCAGCGTTATGCTTACTTATTCAAGATGATGCCCTGTAACTACAAGTTACACGCTCACATACACATAAAATGTAATATCATCCAAAAAGGATCATTCTAAAAGGTTAAACTTTTTCCATGTCACTCCCACTCCACTGCCATCACCAGCACCACTCTCTCTTCCCCCACCATCTCCCCTTCGAAAAGCTTCACGTCAGCTCTGCAAGCCTCCTGGAGCATCTACGCACTGATGGCTCATCCTACCCATATGCAGCCCTGCCATCAATCACTGGGGTGACGCCACAAAGAATTACACACAAATAATTTTGAGTCAAAGGGAGCTTCAGCAAGGATCGTTACAAACAGAAAACACCCCTTTTAATAACCTATATTCTTAAAAATAAGAATTGTGGGTAAACTAGGGCACAGCTGCCAAGCTAGGATGCAAACACAGAGCAGCATATGCTAGAATGCTTCTTTGGAGAGAGAATGCATGAGGTCTTTAAGAGGTTCTAAATCAAACTGCCTCAATCAAATTGCCCTGCCTTGGACCTAACCCCATGGGGTGTACCCTCATTTAAAAGGCAAAGTCGGTGCAGTGGCTCATGCCTGCAATCCTAGCACTTTAGGAGGCCATGGTGGGAGGATTGCTTCAGTCCAGACCAGCCTAGATGACACAGTGAGACCCCGTCTCTACTAAAACTACAAGAAAATTAGCCTGGCACGGTGGCACGTGCCTATGGTCTCAACTACTCAGGAGGCTGAGGCAGGAGGACTGCTTGAGCCTGGGAGGCGAAGGTTGCAGTGAGCCAAGATTATGCCACTGTACTCCAGCCTGGGCAACAGAGGAAGACCCTGTCTCAAAAAAAGCCGAAGTTCCTCAGGTAATTTCTAGCCAGGTGAACAACTACTCACCTTTGAGGTCTTCAGCAGCACCCAGTAGGGAACTCCGGCTCCATTCCTAAGGCACCAGGCAGGGGCAAACCCTCCATGAGACTGGGGCTCCCAGCAGATGCCCTCTCCCATCCCCCTTCCATTCCCGAGTGTGGACTCCTGTAACAACATCCTGCCTGTGGCTCCATGGGACCTCAGCCCCTGTCCCATGTTCTGCACTCAGGGCAAGCCACTTACTTCTATTGGTGCGACTCCAGGAAAGGAGCCGAACCTCTCAGTTTCCCTCAGCCTCATGATGAAGAAACATAATGAGGCTTAATGAGGGTATATGTCAAAGTGCCCAGCATGGAGTCTGGTCCCTGGCAGGGGCTCCTGCCATTTCCTCATGTCTAGGTGCCCCAGCATCTGATGCAAACACTACACTTCCTTCAGTACCCCACCCCAAAGTTTGCAAAGCGCAGGCCATACTTTGTACTCTGCCATCAATTCACTGTGCGTCCTCAAGCAAGTCTCTGTCCCCCCCGCCCCAACCTCAGTTTCCCAATCTGTAAAATGAGGCTGTTAGGTTTAGATGACCTCAATGATCCCTCCCCACCCTGACATTCTGAACATGACCCAAAGTCGCTCCTGTAACCACTGCTCCTTTAAACCGGAGCCAACGCCTGCTGAATGCAAGACTGACAGAGCTGTAGGGAGGTGCAGGCCGCAGGCCACAGCCCAAGGGCTGGAGCTGGTCCTGGGGCTTCCACAGAGCTGGTGTCTCACCAAGCCTGATGGAGGTGAGGGCATGCACTGGCTGTGGTTGTCGCAGGGCCCAGGCATGCATCACATCTGTGGTGAGGACTCCCCCAGCCAGCCTGCTTCCCTGAGCCACTGGAGGACAGCAGGCTGCCTTCCCTCAGGACCCCAGATCCAAACACAAGCTCAACTCTTGGCCTCTTGTTGCCCACTGAGGCTGCTTTGCCAGAGGAGATTAGAAAGATGGGAGTGGGCATGAGAGGGATGCTCCAGAAGTCTGGACCTAAGTCCCTCTGGTCCACTGCTCTCTGCCCTGGCCCTCACGAAGTGGCTAAGTGTTCTGGAGGCCACACTGGTGGTCAGAGAATCTCCTTCCATGAACAGGAGGAGCAGGAGGCAGAGAACAGCAAAGGCAGAGCCTAGAAGGTGCACCCAGATCCTTCAACAATCAACCTGCACGGCTACACAGCCCTATAAGCTGACGCTGGACATGGACCCGGCACACGCTCAGTGCTCAGTAAATGCCGCTTCCTCTCCCTTCTTTCTCCTAATTCAAGAAGGAATCAGGAGAAGGTGCTCAAAGACAGGAATGCAAAAAACCAAACAAAAACCAGACAAACAATAAGAGGGCCACAGAAAGAGGTATCTGTATCCCAAGTGTCCAGATACACAGGGTACCAATTTGATAGGCCTCCAAAGCCCAGGCAGCCCCAAACTTGCTCCCAGCCACTCTCCTGCACCCTGCAGCACAATGTGCTGATGTGCCCCTGCCCATGGCACTGCCTGTGTGGGGTCACAGGGGCAGCCTACACAGCTGCTCTTCAGTGTCTGGCCTGCCCTCTTGAACCAGGAGAAGCCACAACAGGGGTTTCCCTTTTGCTTGTGACCTCCCCCTAATCCTGCCTACAAGATGACTGATGTCTGCTAACCCTTCACTTCTTAAAGATGCTCCAAGTCTTGTATTATCCTGGCTAAAATAGGCCCCCAGGATGCTGCATACCCAGCCACATTCTTCTTGACTCCACACAATTGCTTTGACAAGGTTTTGTCATCAAGGGCCAACAGGAAAACAGCCACTGGGGGAATGTCTCCATGCTTCCTGTAAACCTGTCATGTAGACCAGGGTTATTTATGCTGCTTCCAGCTCCAAAACAAAGATTTCTCGGGATGCGGCCAGAAATAATTTTGTCTCTACTAGTAATCTGGCCAGCTCTCTTCTACTAAGCAACGAAAGCCAGGTGACCCAGCCTGCTTCCCTTTTTGCCCTGCCTACTACGAAGCTCTAAGTAAAGTTTTATGTCTCAAATGCTATCTTTCTTCACTCAGAAATTTCTGATAGAACTACTTTTTCTCCCTCCTCTCCCCACTTACTTCTTGGCCCCTACCTTTGGTTAACTGCACGTGATATCCTTGTATTTGGACTCTCATGGTGCCCGGCCAGTTTTTTTCCTAATATAGGTGAAACATAAGCAGGTAAACTGTGGGGAAGACTTAATACAGCATTGCTCCCACCTACCAACTTGAAAGCACACACCATGCCCCCAGTGAGGCTGGTTGGGGACCACCCGGCAGTGCCCTCACTCCCTTTCTACCCCTACAACCCCAGCTGTGAGCCCCTGCGCTTCAGCTCCACTTACCTGTCATGATCCTCTGTGCCTCATAGGGCTCCATGTAGCCAGCACTCTCCCCCTTTCCTGCTTTGCTCTTGAGATCATTCTTGGCATCAAAGGGATCTGAGTAGTCATCGGCTATGGTCACCTGCAGGGAGGAAGATGGCAGGTGTGAGTCCACCTTTGGCTTTTTTGTTTCACATCTCTTCACAGCTAGGCTTTGGGCCTCAGCTAGATGAGCAAGGAGAGGCAGGGGAGGCAGGAACTAAAGCCGGCGCCCGGACTCAGGGAGCTCCACATCTCACAGGGGTAACGAATGGGACCCATACTGGCAGGGCTCCACTGCGATGAAGAGCCCTCTGAGCTCGTGCATGCCTGGCTGGCTCCAGGCACAGTGAGGTGAGAACAGAAGGGCATCTGGTGAAGGTAACAATGCACACTAAGCATGGAGGCGAGAACCTGGAGGGCATCCTCAGGGAATGTGAGTTGCTCGGTTTAATGGAATGGAAGTGGAGGAAAAGTTGGAAACGAGATCACAGAAAGCCTAGAAATGCTGACATGCTCCTGGTGCTGGCTGAGGCACAGAAGAGTTTGTCTAGAGATAATTAGCTCGGCGTTCCATTTCCCCAGACCTGGAACATAACCACGCCTTGGGTCATCAGACAACAATTTGGTGAGATCAACTACATACAAAGATCACTGTGGCCCCAGACAGACCAAATAAAAACACAAAAGCAGCTCAAGGATCGACAGACAGCCAGGGCCAGTAAGGACCTGAAAGCAACAAACCCAAAGACCCCTCGACAACACATGGGTAAACTGAGGTCCAGTGTGAGCAGAGGCTTGGCCAGATCTTCTGCCTCCCAGGGCCCTGCCTGAGCTCCCCACTTGTCTGTAGTCCAGAACACAGCCCCTGCCTCTTCTCCCCAGAGAAAAATTCTCCAACTCACAGACAAAGAGTGAGTCACCTGGGGGTGGGGGGCACTCCCATGAGAACCTGAGTATCTGGGATTCTAACACTTCAGAGACCACCGTTCCACGTTTTCCCTGGAGAAGAGTAAAAATTCTCGATTGCAGGCTCCAATTAAACATGGCAAGTGTTCCTCCCTCTTTTTACTTCCTAACCTTTAGGAGAGGCACAGAACCCACCGAATCCACGCCCCTCCTGCTTAGCCCCGCTTCATCATAAACTTGTCCTGGGACTTCCCTCTTGCCCTTTTTGGTCACATTTCTGGCAAAGACCAAGCCCTCAGCTCCTCAGCCAGTGCCACCCGGCTGCTTCTCTTGGGAGGGGGCAGGTTAGCGTTCCTCTCAACCCTTGGGGTTACATGAATTGTTATTTAAATTGTGGGTTTAATTAGAAACCACAGGAGCCTGTTCTCTCAGCTCCTGGAATGTAAGGCATTTGAGGGGCCTGCAAACTCAGGGGAAGGGAAAATCCCCCTTTGTCTGCCTGGTAAATGGCAGCTTGTGGCAGCCGTCCTGGCAGGGTGAGCAAGTGACCGCCAGCTGCCAGGAATGTGATGCCCGGAAAGGGACAGCAGGCGGCAGCTCTGTCCCTGGCAAGTGGCTGGAGGCCAACGGGAGGTTTAGCACACAGCGGTCACTGCTCCCCAAACAAGAGAAGCTCATCAGTGAAGACCGAAGCCCAGAGTGCCCAGCACTGGAGCATCTATGGCTCCCGCTGCCGCTACTCCACCACTTTCTCCGTGGCTGTGGCTCAGGCTCTGAGTCCCAGTGGGGACCCAGTAGGGGTGGCTTCCAGATGCTGACATTGTAATGGCAGCCTTTCTTGAGACTCACTGAGCTCAAATGACACCAGGCCAGGGAAAGAAGGGGTGGGAGAGAGCTAGGCCTTGCAATGTCTTTCATTTGCTATTTCTACTCTACCATTTGCAGAATACATTAGGGAGAAAATTATACACATAAACTGCTGTCAAACGGAACAGTTCAGATGCTGGTCAGGTGCAGGGTTTTGTGTCTCAGAGTTCAAGGGGCCAGACATCCAAATGGAGAAAATGAGTTGCTGCTGTGGATGACATCTAATCTTATTTCTCTTGTCCCAGATTTCCTCACTGTCTCTCTTCAACATGAACATGCTCCATCTATTTTGCAATAAGGAAGGGAAAAAATGTCTCCCCTGGAAAACAAAATCATTTGGGGGGATTTGCTGGCGGGGTGGGAGAGGCAGTTGGGTTGCAGTCTCCATAGTAATCTAGAAATCGCCATTCCAGCTCTCAGAAGTGCTCTGTAATTTGCAAACACAGAGGTTTGCAGGATATAAACCAAATCTTTGTTTGCCCTGGGACAGGAGTTCTGGAAGGACTGTGATTCAGCAAGTGCTACCTATATTTTCTAATTAAAATGAGATCTGAGCTCAGGCTGTCATGGAGCTGCGGCTGCCTGCTCCACTTACTTCCGTTTCAGTAAGAATGTACAAATCCTAAAACCAGGAAAAGCCCCTGGTCTCTGCTGACATATGGTTCCAGTTATACCTGCTGACAGTTGAAAATCCTTCCATTGAAAAAAAAAAAAAAGTCTAGAATTCTGTTAGTTTAAGAAGCAAATTGGAAAGTTCCTAAAATGTATATTTAATCAATTTGCTTTTGAACTTCAAAGTGAGGTTGGTGGAGGGAAAGAAATTTGAGGTTTGAGCAACCTGAAACTTTGCAAACACTACACTGAACTGTCTGATCTTTTGCAAAATGATGTCCTAGTTTTGGGAATAAAAATTCAACCAGGTGTTAGGAGAGTTGAGCAGGCAGTCAACCAGAGTGCCCTGTGAAGTACCATGGGCCCCAGCCATCAGGACTGGGCAGTGTGACCACTGTCCAAGCTGCCTGGGGCTCACCGCCAGTCCAGATGGCCATGCAGAAGGTTTGTGTGAAGCGTGCTGCTTTTTTGAGCTAAAAGAAAGAGAATGAGTTTTCTCCAGATGTGAGATTGGATTTCTGACGGGATTGCTTTTGCTTTGCTTTAAAACTTCCCAGTTAGTGGACAACTCCTGTATATCTAATTGAACAATTCAACCAAAAGGGAGCCAGCCGGGACTCCTCTGCAGGCCAGGCCACCTGGGTCCACAAGAAGCTTTCCTTTTAGTCTCAGATTGGCAGAGACCTGGCAGCCACAGAGGCAGAGCTGAGCAGTAGCAGAAAAAAAGGCTGTAGAGTGCGGCTGCTTAGTCAGTGAGCCACGTCATCTTTTGTTTGCTCGGCCTCTTGGGATGAGTGCTAAACCCCAGGCAAGCACCTTTCTTGCTTTCAGACAAAACTACAGACCCCAGGTCAGCCCAAAGCCCCTACAGGGCTTCCACAGGTTTGTCCTCCTGGAGACCTGCTCTGACCTCCCCTTGTTTTCCACAGGGCCCACTGCAGGGCGTTGTCAGTCACCTAGCAAACCAGCAGTGGCCTGGGGATGGCCTCTCCATGCCTCCTCTCTGGAACGCACACTGCTGGGGCCCCTGTGTTTTTATCTTAGAAACTTCACTTTGTGATAGGAAGTAGTCTGCAGCTGTTCATCCCAAAGGAAAGGACTAGAGGAAGGTGGGTGTTGCCCCTTGGCCACACTTCCCTATGGACTGGTCAGAGTTTTAGTTGCTTTTGTGGGACAGCTGCACTTGTGAGCAGAATTGGGTCCTCTCCACATGCTTTCAGTGGAAATGCACTTGGGTGGAGACACTTACAAGGGTAACTTTGGGCAGAATCCATTAAAATCCCCAAATGCGCCAAGTTTGACCCAGCAATTTTACTTCTCAGTATTTATTCCCAAATGTGCATAAGGGTCCATGGGAAGGATGCTGCCTGAAGTAATCATGAGAAACCACCCGAAACTACTGCATCCATCAATAGAGGAATCGCTAAATAAACTGTGCTAGTTCCATACGATGTAACATTATGCAGCAGGCTGAAAAAAAAAATTTAAAAAAAGCAGTTGCTCTGTGTGAGCTGGCACAGCACTCCATGACATAGCTCTGAATGGAAAGCAAGCAAGCTGTAGAATGATAACTACAACATCATACCTACTTAATGAAAAACAAAACAGAAACCTGTATCTCTATTAAGTTAAAGAAAGGGTCTGGGAGATGCACACTCCAAACTGACCCCTCTTTGGGAAGGAGGGAAGGACTTGGAATGGGGTGCTTAGGGGAAGTCAAAAGAGACCTTCTCTGCAATGTTAAAACATTTTCAAACAAGGAGAACCTATTCATGTACTATGTGCAAAACTAAACTTGCTTAAAAGCACTCCTCTTCCACAGGCTATTTTTGGTACAGTAGACAGAATGTTTCCCAAACTTGCCTGAAGACAGGAATGGCTTGGAACGCTTGTTAAGGAAACAGATTCCTAGCCCCAATAATCTGTATTTTAACAAGCAAGCCAGGTGATCCTTATCAGGAAAGCTTGGGAAACAATAAGCTAGAGCCAGCACCCTTCCCCACCAGTCTAGAGACAAGCCTCCAGATATTACTCTGGAATTGTACTTTTCCCAGGTATTGCTCAGCCCTGTTCGTTGAAGTGAAGCAAGAAGTTTGTGCTAACATGCAGCTCTTTTGTTTTCTTCCCTGGTGGTCAACTGGAGAAAAAGAGGACCCGACGTGCCATCTCCAGGATCTAAGACATGGAGGAAATGGTAACCCCTCTGCAATCATGTGGGCTGGCTCCAGATTGAGCAATTCGGCCTGTGCAGGGGGAGAGGGCTACCAAAATCTCACAAATCACCACTAAAGAACTTAGTCATGTAACCAAACACCACCTGTTCTCCAATAACCTATGAAAATAAAAATTTAAATAAATTTAAAAAAAGACTTCTGCCCTGTCACCACCCTGAAAGTGACGGGGTGGGGGGGTGGCCCAACAGGGATCCTAGCCCCGAGGATCTTGCAAGGCAAGGCTTTCTGTTTGAAACCCACAGCAGCTTTCAGGCCAAGGCCAATTTACTCTCAGCAAACTCGTTCTAGGAAGATCACCCGGCTACAGGAAGGGCTGGTGGCACTTCAGAAGAGGAGCCACTGCAGAAATGCAAAGGGAATCTCTGCTGAAATTGCTCAAACCTGCTAAAAAGAATGATGAGGCATGTCCGGGCTTAGTGGCTCACATCTGTAATCCCAGCATTTTGGGAGGCCGAGGCGGGCGGATTACCTGAGGTCAGCAGTTCGAGACCAGCCCGACCAACGTGGAGAAACCCAGTCTCTCCTAAAAACACAAAAAAATTAGCTGGGCCTGGTGGTGCATGCCTGTAATCCCAGCTACTTGGGAGGCTGAGGCAGGAGAATCACTTGAACCCGGGAGGTGGAGGTTGTGGTGAGCCGAGATCGCGCCATTGCACTCCAGCCTGGGCAGTAAGAGCGAAACTCTGTCTCAAAAAATAAAAATAAAATAAAAAAGAATGATGAGGCTGGGCACGGTGGCTCACACCTGTAGTCCCAGCACTTTGGGAGGCCGAGGTGGGCAGATAACCTGAGGTCAGATAACCCTGAGTTCAAGACCAAGCCTATCCAACATATAGTGAAACTCTGTCTCTATTAAAAAATACAAAAATTAGCTGGGCGTGGTGGTGCATGCCTGCAGTCCCAGCTACTTGGGAAGCTGAGGCAGAAGAATTGCTTGAACCCAGGAGGCGGAGGTTGCAGTTAGCTGAGATCGTGCCACTGCACTCCAGCCTGGGTGACACAGCGAGACTCTGTCTCAAAAGAAAAAAAAAAAAAGAATGATGAGAGAGGCAGACTGGCTGCTGTCTTCCAGGATCGAGTGGCCCACACTGTCCCTATTGCCCCATGGTCACCTTCATGTGCCCTGCTGTCTGTGGGACAGCACAGGCCTGTGTCACACACCACACTGCATTTTTAGACAGGTGAATAATGAGTGTTGAATTATGATGCAGTCAGCACGTCGCATCTGCACATCCGCCACCCTGCTAAGGCAAAGGAGAGAGTGTCTTGCTGGCTGAAGGGTCTCTGTGCTGCTCTCCTCTCCCCGGAAAGTGAGGGGGCAGCACCCCACAAGGCCCCTGATTCTTGCCAGGCCCTTGACTTCTGCTCTATGCCAAAGCAAACCGCATATGAATGCACTTGAGAATGTTCTCAATGCTCCCAGTCAGACCATTTTCTCACTGATTCACCTTTAAGACTATACATTAATTTCCTTAACAGTTTGGGGGCCACTAATCTCTTAGAGAATATGATCATTGATGAAGTTGTGCCTCCCCTCATCACATTACATACACCCACAGAGTGTTGTTGAGCACATCATAGGAAGGTCATGAAGCAAGCCCCCCTGTCTAGGGCCACAGTAATGAACAGTGAAAACAAGACACTCTCTCCTTTACCTTAGCAAGGCAGCAGGTGCACAGATGCGACGCGTCGACTGCATCGTAATTCAACACTCATTATTCACCTGGCTAAAAATGCGGTTTGGTGTGTGACACAGGCCTGTCATTGACTGTGAGAGGGTCACTCTGAGAGAATGATGGCCTGGGGCTCTTTGTCTTGGCTTGCCGGGAGCCCTGGCCCTCTCCCCAGCTCTGAGGGTCAGGAGGGCTCCTTGAAGGTGAGCAAATAGCATTTGGGGACGTGAGGCGGCAGCAGCAGCACAAGTGCCTCTGTCCCCGCTCCGAGGCCTGAAGTCCCAGTCCTCCTTTGGGACCCCCCCATAACACAGGCCCTAGCGGGCCTGATGTCCACAGGAAGGAGGCTCTGTTGCCATGCCAACAAAGATGACATTACAGAAACAGAGATTTGGGGGTCTGGAGAGGGCTTCAAATAATGATGAGGCCGCTCAGAGAAGCGGTAGTGGACAGATGTTCTGTGCAGACCCAGAAGCCATACAGACACAAGCCAGGTGATTCAGGAAAGACATCGACAGCCAGTAAAGGAACACGCTGCCTGGGAAAGGGAGCTCCTGCTGCGTGGGGTGTCCAAACAGAGGCTCTAAGATGGGCTTCTGCTTTGGGGGGAAGGTCAGCTGGCTGGATGCCACACTCAGTATCTTTCTAGTGCACATACAGTGCAAAGCCCAGACTCAACTTGGACGTAGAGGTCTGAGCTGCCCCAAGCAGAGCCCTGGCTTTAAGGACTGGCTAAGTGGGTTGCAGAACCCCTGCCATGGCGGAGGCAGGCAGCATTTCCAAAGTCCCAAGGCTGACCGGTGGCAGCTGGGCTGCAGCAGCTGCCCGAGGCTATGTAAATATACAGAAAGGCAGCTGGCAGTGCAGAAAGGATGCCGCCAGGCAGGGACAGTCCAGGCAAGTGGAGCTCTGGAACTGGTTCTGCTACACCCTTGCTGGGTAACTCCGTGCAACCTGTTTTCTCTGAGTTTCGGCAGGTCACCTGTGAAGTGGAGCAGGGTGGTTTGCCTTCTCAGCTTCACATAAACGTTGTAAGGAGCAAATAATCAGATGATCCAAGGATGTGTCAGTAATTTATAAAGAAAAGGCCGTGTCCTTGTTACAGAGCAGATGGCACCTCCAGGATGAAGGTAAGTGCGGTGAGGGGCAAAAGCACTTTCAGGCAGGGTCTCTGCCCACGAGAAGATGAAAATCTGGTAGGGAAGACAGGACAAAGACGTGAAAAGAAACCCCCGCCAAGGCCCCGGTGATTACCAGGGAAAATGGGTACAATTATGCATGACAACAGCTGTCCTATTTCTCAAACACAAAAAGGAAAATGTTTGTGAATGCCCTTTTTTCCCCCCTTTCCTGCTTTGGGTAAGATTCATGCCCTAGTTGGGGCACCTGGCAAAGTGGTGGAGAACCTCTCATAACTCTCGAGGCACTTCCGCCTGTGTGCTGGGAGACAGAAGTGTGACTTGCCTATGGCCAGCATCCAGGGCCCTGAGGGGTCCACAGCACCAGGCTGTTACACCACTCAGGGATATGGGACACCCATGCAGGTACACACACAAGCGCCCCCTACTCGCCTCTTCCTGTCCTCAGCTTTGACTATCATCATAGACCAACTCTCCTTATAGGCACGCCAATAAATCACTGCTGACATGGTAAGGAAATTAATTTAGGGAAGATTAATTAGCTACATTCATGCACTCAGCTGCAACTGCTGGAAATCAGACGGTGGGGAGGTTGGTTTTCCACTCCATTTAGGATTGGTTTGCTTTCTACCTTCTAAGATCTGGCTTGCCTCAAAGTTCAAAGCCCCCTCTTGCATCATGAAGGCCCCTGCCAAGTACTCCGCCCACATGCCTTCAGGGGCAGGGAGCTCATGATGTGGCAACACAGTCCTCTGGGACGGCCATCACCACTAAAGTGTCTTCCCTACACTGAGCTGAAATCTGTCTCCCAGCAGCCACTATCCGTTTTTCTACTGACCTAAGGTGTTCTGTCCTAAATGCTCCTTTACAGACCTGACAGTGACCTGCCCCACATGTCAGGAGGCTGGGAGTGTGGGGGGTTAAAGTGGTCACCACTGGTCTTTCCAGTCCTGCCCCTCCCACGGCCACAGCTGCTTGCCTAGACACCTGCAGGCTCCGACTTGTTAGGAAAAACACATTCCAAATTCCAGCCTCTGTCAGCTCCTCTCAAGCCTGCTTGCTCAGCCTCTCTCTCTCCGTCACACACACACACAGCCCACTGTCTTCCAGCTTCACCCCCTCAGAGTGAGCTGTGGGTCCTGGGTAGGAGGCTGCTGGGAACAGAGCCTGGCTCCACCCTCTGTTTACCCCAGAACCTCAAGTGGTAGAGACAGGCTTTTCAGCATCTCTCAAGTAGTGGGAGGTTCTATTTTGAACTCAGAAATACCTCAATCCTAGAATTTCTTAAGTGCTTTCAGCCAGGGACTATGGATAGAAAATCCAGCACATCCCTCCTGAGGACAAAAACACCCGGGGAGGGGTCTGCAGCCACTACTGAAAGGATCCCTGGGGGATGGTCTATTCTGCTAGATCTCAAACTCTTGTGTGTGCATGATTTCTGCAAAGGGAATCTTACACATGCACCACTGAAGAAAGTGACACCATGCATAGTTTGAAAACCATTTATCCACTGGGGACAGAAGGCTGTGAGTGGGGATGAACTTAGTAAAGTTAATGCCAGGACCAGGTAACCCAACCCATGTTTCCAAACTCCCAGGTCCACACGATTTCTTCAATGCCTATACCACTAACTTTCCTCTTAAAATCATCTTTAAAAATGTCAGAGTATAATCACCACAACTGCCTCACAGAAGAACCCCCCTACCTCCCCTTACAAGGACCAACCACCCATCGCTGTGGACAGCTCTCTGTGGGAGGTGGGCTCCGGGCCAGGCTGGGTCCCCATGGAGCCACTGACTTAGCCGCCCCTCATTCTCCCCTCAACTCCTACTTGGCTCTGCTCAGCTCTCCTGCAGACTCCATCAACCTCTGTCCACCTTGCCAGACAGCCCTTCCTCTCAGGCTTCCTGCTCTAGGGGGTACGAGTGCTCCCCTAGGGGCCTGAGGCGACACTTACCAGGGACAGGGAAAATGGGCCTGAGAAGGGTATCAGGAAAGCTGGTTACTAAGCCAGCTCTCAGACCAGCCCTGGTCGCGAAGAGTAAGAGCAAGATTTTCTTCTCCTTTCTCCTTCGGAGCTGAAGGCTGGAAGGGTAAGGGGAAGGTACTAGTTAAGCTCAGGGTCACAGGTGCCGGATGGTTCCACAAATCATTTAGCCCTCTGCTCTCACCCTCCTCATCTGTGAAATGAGGATGGGGCAAGGCCTACCTGAGCCAACGCACATGGTGTATTCGGAACAGGGTGGTGCACAGCAAGTGCTCAGTGTCAGGTGTGATCACCATCAGCTCAACACACCATCCAGCCTGCAGAGTCTGGGTCTTGCCCAGGGTCACCTGGACATCAGAAATCCAGACTATCCCCCTCCCCATGTTGATGAGGAGCCACCAGAGGCTCCAAGTAACAAATGACACAGCAGAACACTCCTGAGCGGGTGACAGAACTAGACTCCCATCAAATCCCAACCAGGAGAGGACCTATGTCATCTGTTGAACTACATATTTACAGAGTGCCTCCCAAACTGGTTTTAGACAGCTTAATTCGAGGCATTTTTCTGCTTCTGATAGGCACAGCCTGTTGGTCCCCCACCCCCTTCCCAAGGAAGGATCAGGAATGCCCGTGAGGCTTTCTCACGGTAACGTAAGGCTCTGTACAGTAAGAATAACTTCCAGTGTGCTCACAGGAAAAGTATGTAAAAGCAAAACAGCAGCGCCTGTGAGCCAAAGGCCTTTCCTGTGCAATGTGGTACCTTTCAAAGCCAGGCCTCTGTGCCCCAGCCAAGGCCCGGGAGTCACCAAGTGCACCCTCTCTCTCGTGTGTGCTTCCTGTGCTAGAAGCCAAGGTTAAAGGGGAGAAAGAGCTCAGGCCTGGAGGAGCACGAGATCGGGCCAGCACAGTGCCTTTTAATGATCAGCTGCAGAGGCGCGGGAACCCGCACTAAGTGAAGGATCATTTCTCCCCGAACGGGACCCATTAGGATGACTCATGCACATTTCCCACAGGGGAGCTAAAAGGCTGGGCCAGGCCCCTTTAAGGCACAAGCAGCACTAAACAGCTGCTCTCCCCAAGAGTCACTCTCTCTTTATTGAGGATAGGCAGCATCAGCCACAATTACCAGCCCCATGTTTGAGGGCTCCCAATTACATTCCGCTTAACACCAGGTGCTCCATAAATGCTGATTCACTTTTTAAAATAATGCTGTATCCTCCAGCAACCAAGCCTTGATGAACTCTTTCTCCTGTGCCGTCATCTAGGCTGGGAAACCCTGAACCTCACAGGCCTGTTTCTCACATGTACTCGGCGCTTTCTAATGTACAGGAAACTTAGGGTGGCTAGGGCTTTGCGATGTCAAGCAGGTCTGTGATGGTGTTTATCGCTGTTCAGTCCGATCACCTCGTGCCTCCACGTGCCAGGCAATGGGCTCTGTGCTGGGGATACAGAGGAGAGGAAAGGCAGGCCTCCTCCCCCTGCTCTTGCATTGCTTCCAGGTCCCCAGGGGAGATGGGCATTATTCAGTTCACCTCCCCAAGGCAGGCTGGCATGTGCCAGGCAGGGTGAGTAAATGCCTGGGTGAAGGGCCCTTCCCACCCTGCCCTGAATTGCAGCTATGTGTAGGCCTGTCTGCTTCCGCTCCACCAGGAAGGCAGGTTCTGGAGCTCTGTTTCCTTTTTATTACAATATAGCACCTGGTGCACAGCAGGGTCCCAGCAAGGTGTGCTGGGCTGAAACCAGGGGCAGGGCAGGGCAGGGCCTCCAGGGTGGTGGATTCCGGGCCCTGAGCTCCAATGCTTCCAAATTTCTCACCAGCTATGGAGCTCTACTTTCTCTAAGCCTGAGCCCTCCCACTTTCACTGGGAAAACATCTTCCTTCTGCGGTGCAGGAGAAGCTGAGTCAATGAACCAAGGGATACATAGTGCCTGTCACATTATGCTGGCATAGGCAAGGGCACAAGGGCACTAGAGAACACAGAAAAGATGCTGCTCTTATCCTCTAGAGGCCACAGGCCATGCCTTTTAGTCTGGGGAACCCAGACACAGACCTTGAAGCAGGCACTAAAATGCAAGTGGTTGATCTGGGAGGAGACACTTACCGGGGACAGGGAAAATGGGCCTGAGAAGGGTATCAGGAAAGCTGGGTTACAAAGCCAGCTACCCATGGTGGGCAACTAGATGGAGCATGATCTGACAGAGGAAACTCTGGGAAACCATGCACAACCCACCCCTCAGAATTACCTTACCAAGAGTGAGGGAGCTGGGGGTCAGGCACCAACTCCTGGGAGCTCCTGGTGTAGGCAGAGCGGCTGTTCCCATTCCTATGTTCTAGAAAAGCCCTCGGGCACAGAGATGTGGATGAGCCAGTTGGAGAAGGCCAGACTGGGGAGGCAGAAGGGACAGGGTGGGTCTTGACAGCATCTGCTGCCCAGGGCAGGGGGTGCCTCCTGGAGAGGGATGGAGCTGAGCCAAGAGGTCTCTTCTGGTGCGTTTACCCAGCTGAAGCAATGGTACTGTGCGGGGCTCCCATCTGCTTGGCTCCTACCCCGGATCTCACACCCCATCTCCCACCTAGGGTTTGAAGCAGATAATGGCTTTGCAAATGCATTGGAGACTGCGCAGAATCACAGGAGTCCCCAGAAGCCACCCTCCCTAGTGCAGGCTGCCTCCCCTCCCAAAGCCCAAGTATCATTTTCTCCTGGTCTAGGGCCCTGTCCCAGAGACTAAGCAGGCACCTCCCCGAGGAAGCACATGGACAAAACCAAATGGGGACCCTATGGGCCTCTTTAGATCCTGCAACATCAATCAGCCTGGCAGCTTCAAGGAGGGCCCAGAGCTGTTGTGCCAATAATGGACGGGCTCATGCACCCTGTGATACCTATGAAGGCCTCAGGGGCAAGTCCATGTGGGCCAGGCCATAGTCCCTCACGACTGGCTAGTGGTAAATCAGAACACCACGGTGTGCCCATTTCATCACCCTGCAGCTGGGGTGCTGGAAACCCAGGCTTGCTCACAACCCCACACACAGAGAAGCAAGCCACCCTCAGTGATACCCTTCCTGACTGCCTCTAAAACCAATCTCCTCCTTTGTGCAAACAAATATGGCTCAGGCCACACCAGAATTGCGAAGAGGAACTCCAGCCAGAAGGCCTGTGGCACCTCTAACCCGGCAAGGCCAGCTCCAGCGCAGGCTGAGTTAGCTGAGGAGACATACTAACAGCCAGTGAAAGAAGTTAAGGAGTCTATTTATTCATTAAAACAAAATCCTTTCTGGCATCTCAGCAATTGACAAAATCAGGTCTCAAAACAGTACTTATAAAAGGATTCCATTTTTCTAAAATATAACATCAAAGAAATGTGTTTATATCCATAGAAAAAGGACCAGAAAGAAATGAAATACAGCACACAGATGCATGCTCTCTGCCTCCCTGGTCACCTGCCATTCCACGGGGTGGTAGGGTGAGGGTGAGGGGGCACCTTGCCTGCTGCTCCTCTGTGATCAAGCCCTCCAGGGCCAGGGCATGGACAAGTGGATACAGGACCACCGAGCTTCCCAGGCCCAGGGAACCCTCCTTGCTCCTGGAGCTTTCCCTTCATGGCCCTGGACCCCTTACTGCATCCTAGCCAGAAGCCTATTTGTAAACATGTAAATGATTCTAGTCCACCACAGCCTTTGCCTTGAAATCTCCACCAGGCCCAAAGCTTTCAACACCAAGTGGTCCAATCAACTCTGCCCAGCCCCAGCCTGGCATAAAGGGGTGTGAGTAAATGCTGGGGGAGTCAATGAGCAAATTAATCTACAGAGGGTCTATGGGGCCATTTCTCTCCAGGGCAAAGCCAGAAGTCCTACCAATAAGGGACAATTCATACAACAGTATAGACAAGCAAGGTTTTACTCAAGTGCTTGCCCATTTTCTGGCTGCATGACTTTGGGCAACTTACATGACATACTTGATCTCTCTGTGCTTCCATTTCCTCATTTATAAAATGAGAATAATACCAAGACCTACCCTCATGGGGTTGCTATGAGATTTTTTTTTTTAATTTGTTTATTTTTTAGATGGAATCTCGCTCTGTTGCCCAGGGTGAAGTGCAATGGCGTGATCTAGGCTCACTGCAACCTCCATCCCCTGGTTCAAGCAATTCTCTCACCTCTGCCTCCCGAGTAGCTGGGATTACAGGCACACGCCACCACGTCCAGCTAATCTTTGTATTTTTAGTACAGACAGGGTTTCACCATGTTGGCCAGGCTGCTCTCGAACTCCTGACCTCAAGTGATACGCCTGCCTCAGCCTCCAAAAGTGCTGGGATTACAGGTGTGAGCCACCACACCCGGCCTGCTATGAGATTTAAATGAGTTAGTATTTGTCAAATGCTTAGACCAATATGCATGGTAAGCACTGCTGAAGTATTTGATAAATAAGTAAATGTGTACACATTTGCACAGCATCTGCCCCTGCACCTAGATGTACACGTGCATGCGTGTACACAAGCAAGTATGCCCACACTCCCATATGCTTCAGCACAACAGCATGCATTGCAACTGGTTTTCTCCACATCACTGCGAGATGGATGTGGGTGTACTCTCACAGCCAGTGGGGAAAGGGAGAAGGGCTGCAGTCTGCCCTAAACCACAAAGTCCAGTGAGGGCATGACCAGCAGCTGTGGCCAATGGAACCAGCTATCTGGCTGGACCCAGCTATCACACCAGCTGCTGCTCCCAGTCAGAGAGCAACTGCCCACCCAACCAAGCCCACACAGGTCTGGCCTGGGGCAGGGGACCCCAGATCCATTAGTCCTGGACCATGTACAACTTCCCCCCTCAGAGATGTTGAGCCCCCAGAGCGCACACTCTGTAGACGACACAGCAAAATGAGCCCAGATAAACACCACCTGCCCACCTCTTTCCTCCAGGTATATAAGAGGCCTCACTGCTGCGATTCCTCCCACTTGCTGCTTTCTCTAACCTCAAGCTTCCTCACAAAGGGCTGCAGAGAGCAGAGGAAATGCTCTAAGTCAGGCATAACGGGGATTTTAAGAGGCCGGGCCCAATGCACTTTATTTCTGGGGTTAAGAACATTAGGTTCTTATTTTTAAATGCCAGTATATCAGGGACTGATGTTTATAGTTTCCAGGGCTAGCTTCACAGGTGAGTGGCCTGTGCAGTCGCAAAAGGCCCCTGCACTTGGTTTAACAGCCTGCCATCACCATTTGGAAATTCTTAATAATTTTTAAATGAGGGGCCTCACATTCTTATTTTTTGTGGGATGGGCCCTGCAAATTATGTAGCTGATCGTGATGACCCCTCCCCAAACACCAACATCCAGAAGTTTCCATGGGGAGCTTGAGGCCCAGACTGTAATCCCCTCCTCTTGCCAGCAGGGCACCATTAGCTAAGTCATTCTATCAGCTCCTCAATTTCCCCATCTGTAGAATGGGTAGAGTGGGTTGTTAGGGCCAGAATCCTGGATTTCATGGACTACTATACAAAAAAATTATACAAAAAAAAAAGGGGGGAAAGACAAGATCACGCACACTAAAAGAACCCAACCGCCATCTGTCTTCACCCACATTTTATGAAGGAAAGGGCTGGGCATGGTGGCTCATGCCTTTAACCCCAGCACTTTGGGAAGCCAAGGTGGGAGCATCACGAGGTCAGGAGATAGAGACCATCATGGCCAACCATGGTGAAACCCCGTCTCTACTAAAAATACAAAAATTAGCTGGGCGTGGTGGTGTGTGCTTGTAATCCCAGCTACTTGGGAGACTGAGGCAGGAGAATCGCTTGAACCCGGGAGGCAGAGGTTGCAGTGAGCCGAGATCTCGCCACTGCACTCTAGCCTGGTGACAGAGCGAGAGACTATGTCTCAAAAAACAAAACAAAACAAAATCAAACGAAAAAAGATAAAGACAATAACAATTTAACAGTAAAAAGGTAAAAAGGAAATTGAGAATAAAGCATAGTCCTTTAAGGTGAGTAAGTTTAGCTTCATAAGAAACCCCTAACCGTCCATTTTTCTAATTTCATTGGAGATCACCATGCTTTCTAGGGAAGCATTACCCCAGGTGAGTGTTTCAGTCCTTTTAGTATTACTTTAGAAACCAAGCCTTCCTATGATGTCAATGGTCTGGTGTGCATGTTATTGCTTAAGAGCACTGACTTTTCCAGACCCTCTTCCCACCCTGTGTCCCTTCCGCTTTAAGGGGACATCTGAGACCATCACGGGAGCTGGTTTCCATGAAACACCAACACAGCACTTGACAACGGCTGTATGAATCGGGCCCAGAATGGCCCTTATTTATTAATGCACATTGTAAAATCTCCTTCCAAATGCAAAGTCATAAATCACCTGCCACTGGAAACATTCTATCCTGAAAGGGAGGCAAAGGTATCTTGAACTGAATCCCAGACTTACCCATTTCAAAAGAGCAAACTTTGATCCACTGCTGATGAGTAAATCAAGGGGAGGCAGGCCCCTTGCTGATAACTTGGCTATCACAAGACACCTCAACCTACCACCCAGCTTTCTCTCTTCACCCACTTCTCTGTGAAGACCTGGGACCGGGCAGGACTCATGGGGGCTGAGTCCCAGAGCCTGGGATCCTCCAGTGCCAGGGCCCGAGAACCTCGGACCAGACCCTCCAAGCGCCTGAGTGTTCTAGAGGACTAGAACAGGCAGGAGGCTAAGGGACGATGCTTACAGAGGGGGCACCGCCTAGAGAGCACCTTCTCTACAAGCCAGGCTCTTGGCTCTGTGCTTTCACGTACATCATCGTATTTCATCCTTCCTAATCACCTCATTTTCAGATGAGAAAACCGAAGCTCAGAAATGTCTAGGAACCCTGCCAAGGCCTCAGAGCACAGAAGGCTACGCAGGTTTCAACCCAGGCCAGCGTCACCCCAAAGCTCTGGCTCTCCTGGGCTACCTACAGCCTGTTGTATGAGTTTCTAAGTCCAGGCTCCTTCTGGGCAACAGGAAGAGATCTCTGAAGGGAAGTTTGACAGGAAGAAGCAGCAGCTTTGCCAGCTTGGCTCAGTTGCGCCAACCGTGAGCAAAGGCCACCTGACAACTCCCTTAAGTCAGCTGAGTGCTGGAAGTCTCCCTTCCCCTTCCTCAGCTGCCCTGTGACTCCGGCACACCTGCAACCTGCCCTGCCCGGGCCACACCTGGGGAAGCAGTGCTTCCGCCTGCAGCCTTTGAAGCCTGGCTTCCAGCTCTCCTCTCCCTCCACCCTGTACCAGCCGTATCCCTCCTGCCTGGGGGATCCTACTTCCCCACATACCAAAGCCAGTGCAGCGTGGCACAGTCCTTGTCTTCAAGTTACACAGAATGAGCACCAGCGTTGTTTTGAAGTTGTCCCCATGGAGAGGCCCCGGACCCCAACACCAAACCTCTGCACATGGAAGCATACCCGTGCCAGGCAGAGGAGGGAATGACAGCCAGAAGGAAAACCTGCTTCTCTAGAAAGAGTGAGCCCTGGTACTGGGCCCAGTATGCACTAAGTACTAAGTGCTAAAATATGCTGGCTGTTGTTATTTTCAAACATGACTGTAAAGAAAACCTGATTTTTCTCATCAGAACCAGCAAGAAAATGGAATTTTATGGTAGAAGTGGTTCCATTTTCATCTGGTTAGGGTGAGACCAGCTGAATTAGAAAACCAAGCATCCACAATGCAGTGAGGACTGGACGATCTAAGGAGATGAGGCGGCCCTCAGGGTCAGCATGGTTAGCCTGCAATCACCCTCAAAGCAGGTGCTGGCTCCAATGGGGCATCTGGGAATAATTTAAAGCCTATGCTTTCCTAAGATAAAAGTGAGCACCCCATCACCTCTATGGGTGCCCCATGATCATGCCCATTTATCAGGGATAACACCAGTGACTGGGGCCAGCCAATTCGGGGAGGGGGCCCTTCCAACCCACAGATCCCAGAAAAATGTACTCCTTGGAGACATTTAAACCAATACCCCAGCTGGTGCGGTGGCTCATGCTGGTAGAATTTGGGAAGATCACTTGAGCCCGCGAGTTCGAGACCAGCCTGGACAATATAGGGAGACCCTGCCTCCACAAAAAATAAAAATTAAAATTAATCCAATGCCCTAGTTGACCAATCATTTCGGAAGGGCTTGGAGAGGGTCCACCTGAGTGGTCTCGTTACACTCCCCCTCCCCATATTTTTGTTATGCCCATCCTCTGATCAGTGGGCAACAGGATAAAACAGGTGGTCCCGAGTTTCCCATCTATCCTGGGTCCCACAACTAGAGCTGTTGCAGCCCCAGCCTCTCCATAACTCTCAGTCTTATGGACTGGCTCACGCAGGCCTGCTTGGTGAGTAAGGCAGGAAAGGCCCTCAAAGCTGTCCACAGCCTTTCCTACCCAGGAAAAAACTGCTGTAAAATCCTGACACCCCCCCAGCACCACCTCCTGGATTTAAGAAGGGGGAGGTGGCTTGGGTTTTAAAAAGAAAATTGGATTCCCATTCATGAATTACCCACACCGAGGGCACTTAACAGGTGAAACGGGTTCTGCCATTGATGAATGAGCTCGGGTAATAACGGGGCTCACCCTTCGCCATTAAAAATATTAACCTCATTCCTGGCCCAGCGATGTCATAAACCCAGGGCCCCTGAAGCTCTCTCTCATGGCCACACTTCCCATCTGCCTGGTGAGGGAGTTCAATGTGCACCTCTCACCCTGCGGGCAAGCCCTTTGGGAAGTGTACTAACGCCCCTCATAAAACCAACTGCAGGTAGACAGGAGGAAGAAATAATGTAATAACTTGCCACCTGTATGCAAGAATTCAGAGGCCTCCACTGCCTGGGACCTTTACTAAAGTGATGCAGTGCTCATGTGGTCTAACACAGCTTCCCACAGCCAACCTGACCACAGGCTGCAAGGACAGTGATAATGATGTTATGATCCACCATGAGAGAGGAGACTGTCTCCCTCTACTCTGTACAACCAAAGGACCAATGGAGAATCACGTCCAGCTCTTTGGGAGGTCCCCTGTGGCAGGGAGCTCACTACCTCCCCAAATACTCTGTTATACTTTGAATAGCTCTGTCTGATCATTCTTCCTGAAATTGAGTTGAAATCTTTTTGAGAACTTCTACTGGTTGGTTCTCATTCTGTCCTCTGATCCCACAGAACACGCCTGCATCCTGTGCCAGGGGTTGACCACTGTCTTGCATGCCCCCAACAGATACCCCTGAATCTTCTCTAGTACTTCATGTTTTTGGTTTGTTCATTTGTTTGTTTTATTGAGACGCAGTCTCGCTCTGCCACCCAGGCTGGAGTGCAGTGGTGCGATCTCAGCTCACTGCAACCTCTGCCTCCCGGGTTCAAGTGATTCTCCTGCCTCAGCCTCCAGAGTAGCTGGGATTACAGGTGTGCACCACCATGCCTGGCTATTTTTTGTATTTTTAGCAGAGATGGTGTTTCACCATGTTGGTCAGGCTGGTCTAGAACTCCTGGCCTCAGGTGATCTGCCCACCTCGGCCTCCCAAAGTGCTGGGATTACAGGCATGAGCCACCCCATCCGGCCTGGGCCTTGTACTTTAATTAAGGAGCGGTCACCAGGATGATAAAGAGCCCAGACTCTCCCCCACGTCTCATGGGCATAATTGAAGGGACCGAGGGGTATCTACTAGAGAAGATTCAGGGGTATCTGTTGGGGGCATGCAAGACAGTGGTCAACCCCTGGCACAGGATGCAGGCGTGTTCTGTGGGATCAGAGAACAGAATGAGAACCAACCAGTAGAAGTTCTCAAAAAGATTTCAACTCAATTTCAGGAAGAATGATCAGACAGAGCTATTCAAAGTATAACAGAGTATTTGGGGAGGTAGTGAGCTCCCTGTCACAGGGGACCTCCAAGCAGAAGCGGGTTGAGCACTTGGCAAGGAGGACCTAGACTGAGATCCTTTGCCACTAGAAACTCTATAGTCCTCCTGAGATTTTTATGGTACCCTGAAGCATAGGACTGGGGATAGGGGAGCCAGTGTTGAAGGGGTTGCTCCAACCTTATAAAACTGCATCCCTCCCTCTCACTTTCACAGGCTGCTCAGTGAGAGAGGTTCTCCACCTCTTTCCCCAGTGGCATGTGAAAGGTTGGGTGCCATGGGAGAAGCACAGAATCACATCCTGAAGTTCAGCAATGCCCACGGTGGGGTAGGTCTTGGGGACAGAAGGACAAAGCTCAGTCAGTGTCTACCTTCCATGAGTGGATAATCTAGGGAGAGGTCAGCAACCCTCTCCTGTAAATTACCATATAGAAAATATTTTAGGTTCCTGAGGGTCATACAGTACTCCTGGTTTAGTCCAGTGATTCTCAACATAGCTGCACATCAGAAAAACTCCTGGGGAGCTTTTACAATGCACCATGCCTAAGTTTGGCCCCCAGAAATTCTGATTTAAGTGGCCCAAGGTGGGGCCTGGGATTAGTATTTCTAAAAGCTCCCCTAGGAGCTTGGATACAATCCATCCAAGACTGAGAATCACTCTCTGGTCTCCAGCAGAAACAGGCGCGTGCAAAACCTCAGCATTATCCCCAGTGATTTCCCAAACCCAGCGAGGGGAAGTGACTCGCTCAAGGTCATACAGTGAGTCAAGAGGCAAAGAATCTGAGCCCAAGATCTTCTCCCTGCAGCACCCAGGCACAGACAGGCCCAAACTCCTGTTCCAGAGCTTGGGATACCAGGCCTTCTTGCTCAAGCCCTGCTGCCCCATAAGGTGAAGACCCCAGAGAAACACCAGCCACATTCGCCCCGACCCACTCTAACGCATGGGGCACTGCCCTCTCTCCAGACCAAACCTCAACGAGGTAGAACTAACAGGGGAATGAATTTCTAAAACAGCCACATTTTAACCAAAATTGCTAACAGTTTATTAGCATCTGGGAGGAACAAAAGTTAGGGCTGTAAAAACTGTATTTCTTCAGTCCTAACAAGCGCAGCCACAGCAAACTCTTTACCAATGACACCACTAAAGACTTGCCAAAACGTGCCGCCTGCCTAGAGCTCTGCCCACGCAGGACTTGGGCACAAGGAACCCCCAGAGCCCTTGGGAATGTTGCAAGAGCTTGGCTGAGGCTGGGTGGCCACTGGCGGCGATGATCTCAACGTCTACAGAGCAAATGAGCTCCGAAAGACAGGGCAGACCCAGGCATCCCCCGCCTAGCAGGAGCTCTGCTAGTGGAGATAACTGGAGAGTCTCTGAGCCCCAGACTCTCTGGGGTTCTCTCCATTGAGCCACAGGACAGTGAGGGACTTGAGAGAGCAAGGATGGGAGAAGCTGAATAATAATACAAGAAATACTGAGAGCAGCTACCAGGGACTATGCTCAGTTCTTTTAATACAACATCCCTATGGATTTGATTCTCATATTGTCCCCATTTTACAGATGAAAAAAACCAAGGCATGGGGTGGCTGGATAACATGTCCAAGGTCACCAAAGCAGTTAAGTTGCAGAGCCCTGACTCAAACTCGGGTGCTGTCTCTTAATCTTATGCTCAACAGACTTAGAAGTGACTCTACTATGAAACTCCTCCCTGCAGAGACAGCAAAATAGACCCAGAGAGAGCAAGGGACTGGTGCAGGACCCCGCAGCACGGGAGCTGGGGTAAAAGCAGTTCTGTGTACTGCCCTGTAGACAGCCTGGCTTTGGGCCCTACTAGGCTGACACAACTCCCTCTTTTCCCGGAGAAGAATCCTGCGATCTCCTTATGACACAACAGTGGGCTCAAACAAGAGAACTGGAGAAAGAGATGGCACACAGGGCTCTTGTCTGTAGTCTGTGTAAAGTACCAATTGCTGGAGTACTCCGTGTCATTTGGAAACTTCCTATCTTACCTCCATATAGGCCCATGGTCAACAGGGCTGTGAGCTTGTTTCCGACACCTGCCCCCACCACTGCCCGCTCCAGTCACACGCAGAGTCACCAGCCCCCAACTTCCCCAGGGGGTCTTCACTCATACTGTGCCCTTCTCTCTTCTCTGATCACTGCATGTTCAAATTCTATCTAACCTCCAATGCTCGGCACATGAGAACATGAGCTCTAGAGTGAAATGTGGGTTGAAATCCACACTGTGTCACCTTGAGAAGTTTGCTCAACCTCTCTGGGCCTCAGTTTCTTCACTATAAAGTGGGGATAGTAACAGAACCCACCTCAGTGCTTGGCAACAGGAGGGGCTCAACTGTGTGTCATTATCATCGATTCAGCCCCCATGTACCATTCTGAGAACCCCACCTCCGCTAGAAGTGAGCCTCTCTCCTCTGAGCCCTGAAGTTCTGTCTGCTCCTCCATTCAGCCTCCCTGGGCTGACCTTGGGGCAGATCCTGTGCTGGGCTCTGGAACATAGAGCAGAAGGAGTGGTCCTTCCTGCAGGAGACACAGGCTCATTGGGGGATAGCCACAGGCTCACAAATAGGCATGACACAAGGTGGCTGGGCTAGAAGAGGAGCTAAAAAGTGACATTTCACATTCTGTCACACTCTAACAAGATTTTTTTTAAAATCTGGCTCTCTTCCTACTGACTAAAAGTGGTTTAACTAACTCCTAACACATTGTCTAAGAGTTTTTAAAAGTCAGGCCAAACTCTATTTGGAGAACTCCAAACAGCACCCAGAATCTTCCCCTAACCCTGCTTTATAGCTTGGGTCTGGCTGTCCGGCTCTGCCCTCCCCATCCTACGCCCCATGCATGTGTGCCCCAGCCCAGCCATTCCATGCAGGCCAGAGCTCAGCAGCACACAACAGGCTGGGCGCACAGGCACCAGGCGTGGTCAGGTCAGGCGTGGGGGACCTCCAGACTTAAGAGCACCACAAGGCAGGCCCTGTTCTATCACAAAAGCAATGGACCTGGGAGCCCCAGGAACCAACACTCTCCACGTGTGCACTGCACTTTGCGGTTCATAAAACACATCTGTGTCTGTCACTTCCCCTTCCCTAACACCCAGGGAGTCATCTTACCATGATTACTAAGAAGCCCCACCTCCACCCCAAACTGGAGACTCTGGGACAGGGCCTATGTTCACTTTATCTTTTTGGTCCCTGAGTCTAATGCAGGGCCTGGCACACAGTAAGGTACTGAGTAGATGAATAAATGTATTTTACAAATGAGGAAACTGGCTCAGAGAGATTAAGAAATGTGCTCAATGTCACACAGCAAAGGAAAGCAGCGGGTCTGCCTGACTCCCAGACTCCTTCCTGCCCCAGCCCAGTGCCTCCTTCCCCAGGACACAGGGATGCAGCCCACTCTGCTCCCTACTCGGGTCATGAGCCAGCCCCGCTTCCCAGGCCAACCAATGAGCTGCCTGGGCATCTAGGAGGCCCCGGGGGTGGGGCAGGGAGAAACTGGGTGTTGGGGAGTGACAGTGGGCAGGGGCCACCCCCCAGGGAGGTATCAAGGAGAAGTAGGGAAAGGCAGATGGAACCCCGGAGAGGGAGTGTGTGCCAAAGAGAACAAAGGCAGGAATGGAGCGGGTGGGATCAGGAGCCCGAGGAAGTGAGGAGATGGAAGTTTTTTGAGACAGACTGTCAGCCGTGAAGAAAAACATGTTTCTGAACTCCTGACGCTTATCGCTTATCAGGCAGGGCTGGCGGGCGGGCGTGACAGCCCAGGACACTACACTACAAAAAAGGGGTCGCCAGAGAACATTTTCTTCCCCGGAAAAATGTGGATAATACATAGCTGGAATGGTGAAAAGCATCCTTAAGATAAAGTGCCCTGTCAGATACTGCTGTCAGGCGTTAAGCCTCCAATGTTATCTCCAAACCAGACAAAAAAACCTAAAAACAAAAAACCACTTTTCTGATTAATCATTAAATCTAAACAAGAAGAAAACTGACAAAATGGGCTCTTTTGCAAAAAAGAGCATTTTGAATGATAAGCACAATTGAAAGCCTAAGGCAAGACTTTAAAGCGCAGTGGGAACTGCTTAGTCATTAGCCTGTATGTGCTGCTGCCACTTCAAGTTTGCAAGAAGTCTGCAAGATCCGAAGGGGGTCATGGCCCTGGGGCCAAGCACACCCATCCCACTTTGTGGCAAAGGAGTATGTGAATGAATGGATTCCAAGATTCTGGATTTTACTACCCTTGGCCCCTCCCTGTGGGCCCAGTCCCTGCCATCTACAGAGCAGAGGTTACAAAGCCACGACAAGGTCCCGTTGTAATCCTACTTCCTGAACAACCTCTTTAACTTGACCACACAAGGGCAGTAAAACACGTAGCAAAGGGGTCATCCGGAAACAGCCCTGATATAAGAAGTACCTCAGGGAAGCTCAGCTCCCTCATGAGTCCAGGCCAGGCTGGCCGGGCCCACCATCCCCTCCTGCCTCAGCGAGGGCAGCGGCTGGTCCAGTAGGCCACAGGCCTCTGGGGCAACTTGCAGCTGGAGCTCGAGGGGCGAGGGGAGAGGAGGAGAAATGGGCCTCTCGACAGGAGTCTGGCGGCCCATGCCCTGCCCTCCATGAATCCCTAGGCCCCAGTCTTATTTTAAGCCAGAACCCAGGATTTGGGTTCTGAAACTGCATTCTAGAGCTGCGCCCCAGGCGTGTTTACAGCCGCCTAATTCTTGTGGTGATTGTTTCTGGAGGATAAGCCTGGGGGTTTTTCCTCCTCAGAAATTAGTACACTACCTCAGGTCAGCCGGTCTTTCCCCATAGCCGCTATCTGCTGTGTGCAGGAAGGCGACTCCTTCCAAGGCTCAGAACTCACCGTCCATGGCAGCTGAACATTAGGTTCAGAGAAGCAGAGGGGGCACAACTCGATGGGGAAAGGCTGGGGTGTGGCCTCGACTGCGCCACTGGCTGGCCATGTGTGTGACCTTGGGCAAGTCTTGGCTGCCTCAAGGGT